>NC_000001.11:241790182-241941697 GCF_000001405.40 Homo sapiens
TTTACTAAAAATATAAAAATTAGCCGGGCGTGGTGACGTGCACCTGTAATCCCAGCTACTTGGGAGGCTGAGGCACAAGAATTGCTTGAACCTGGGAGGCAGAGGTTGCAGTGAGCCGAGATTGCACTACTACACTCCATACTGGGTGACAGAGCGAGACCCTGTCTCAAAAAATATAAAAATAAATAAATGGAATGTTCTGGTTGAGTAGGAGTTGCTGTGGTTTCTATAGAGGAATATTTGGGAAACCAACTGGTATAAGAGTTGAGTGTAGAGATACTGTCATTGGGACTGATGCCATAGGAACCAAGAAATGTGGGCACCAGAGAAGGACATAATGGATCTTTGTTTAGTTGGCAGAGAATAAAAGGTATGGGTATGTACTTATTCTTGTATCTTTATATGCAGATGGAGAAAAATGAGCTCAGTGTCTCTACTTTTCAAACGCACACCTCCCAAGGCCTTTGAAGTGGAACAGGATTTCAAGTTTTTCAAGTCTCTTTCTTCTCCTAAGGTAGCTTAAAAAAAAAAAAAAAAAAGAAATGGCAACAACAACAAAACCTTTGCTTTTGTTTTTCTGAATTCAAATATGTCCAGTAATATAACATATTAATTTTTTATTGATGGTATTACAAATTACTATAAACTTGGTGGCTTAAACAATACAAATTAATTATCTCCCAATTTTGGAGGCCAAAAGTTCTACATGGGGGCTATACTGAGGTGTCACCTGAGCTGAGTTTCTTTCTGAAGGTTGTAAGAGAGAAGACCGTATTCCTTAGCTTTGTGGCTCCCTTCCTTCATCTTCAAAGCCAGCAATGGGCCAGACATGGTGGCTTACCTCTGTAATCTCAGAACTTTTGGGAGGCCGAGGTGTGTGGATCACCTGAGGTCAGGAGTTTGAGACCAGCCTGATCAACATGGCGAAACTCCATCTCTATTAAAAGTAAAAAATCTGCCAGGCATGGTGATAAGCGCCTGTAGTCCCAGCTACTCAGGAGGCTGAGGCATGAGAATCGCTTGAACCCAGGAGGCAGGGGTTGCAGTGAGCTGAGATCGTGCCGCTGCACTCCAGCCTTGGCAACATAGCGAGACTCCCTCTCAAAAAAAACAAACAAAAAGCCAGAAATTTGTCCCCTCTCTGACCATGTGGTCACACAGCCCTCTGACCCAGCATGAAAAATTATCTGCTTTTAAATATTTATGTGGGCCGGGCACAGTGGCCTGTAAACCCATCACATTGGGAGATCAAGGTGGAAAGATCCCTAGAGTCCAGGAGTTCAAGACCAGTCTAGGCAACATAGTGAGACTATGTCTCTATTAAAAAATTGTTTTAAAAGTAGCGGGGCATGGTGACAGTCCACCTGTCGTCCTAGCTAGTTGGGAGGCTGAGGTGGGAGGACCCCTTGAGCCCAGGAATTTGAGGTTACAGTGAGCTATGATCCCACCACTTCACTCTAGCTTGGGCGAAAGAGTGAGACCCTGTCTGGGGGAAAAAAAAAAAGAAAAAACAACGAAAGATTAAAGTGATTAGACTTGGCTTATCTAGATAACACAGCATAATATGCTTGTCTCAAGGTTCTTAACATGAATCATATCTGCAAAGTCTCTTTCGCCAAGTAAAGCAATATATTCACAAGTTAGGAAGTAGGAGAAAAGGATGTGGACATCTTTGGTAGCTGTTCTTCTACCTTTCACAGACAGACATGTTTTTCTTCAGTGCAGAATTAAGAGAGAAAAGTGTACTGCTGTTCATTCTATTTCTAATTTTAACACTTCTAGAGAACAGATATAAAATGATTCTTTAAGCTAAGGTCTAGCATTAATAAAATTGATTTCCTCAAGGTTTTCCACAAAATAAACCAAAAGAACCTTTCTAAATGTATCTCCCATTACCAACCTACAGTTACCCCACCCTCTACAAATCACACTAATTACTGTTTCCTGAGCATTCCTGTCTGTCTTCTGCCCTACAATTTAGTTCCCCGGGATGTCCTTGCCATATCTATAACCTCTTCCATCTGTCCAAGTCCACCCTACCTTTGTAATACATAGGAAGGTTAGTATACAGGGGCCGGGTGCGGTGGCTCACGCCTGTAATCCCAGCATTGTGGGAGGCCGAGGTGGGCAGATCACGAGGTCAGGAGATCGAGACCATCCTGACTAACATGGTGAAACCCTGTCTCTACTAAAAATACAAAAAATCAGTGGGACGTGGTGGTGTGCACCTGTAGTCCCAGCTACTCAGGAGGCTGAGGCAGGAGAATCTCTTGAACCCAGGAGATGGAGGTTGCAGTAAGCTGAGATCGTGCCACTGCACTCCAACCTTGGCGACAGAGTGAGACTCTGTCTCAAAAAATAAATAAATAAATAAAAATAAAATAAAAATTAACAAAGGTCAGTATACAGGATATGGAAAGAACTCCTAAAATCAGTGAGGAAAAAAGAGACGATTCCACAAAATGGTTTAAAATAAAGTGGCTGAGCAAGATGGCAGAGGAGGACTCCATAGGAGCCCTTCCTCCACAGAAGCCAGATTGACAAATACCAAAAAGTCTGAAAATATCAAGGGTTGGTGTTTTGTGGCACAATCAGAACACTAATCTGCTGATGGTAGTGGTGTAAATTGGTAGAACCACTGTGGAAAGTAATGTGGCATTATCTAGTAAAGATGAAAATAGGCCTATCCTATTAAATGTATACCTTAGGGAAACTTGAACATCTCCTTAGGAGACAGGTACGAGAATGCTCAGAGAAGTGCAGTTTGCAATAGCAAATCCCTGAAAGCAGCCTAAGTGCTCATCAACAGGATAATGGGCAAATCAATTATGACATATTCATAAACTGGAATACTATAGACCTGTGAAAATAAATGAATGAGAGAAACGCTCATCTACAGGAATGATGGTTTGAAGCAACTATTGAATGAGAACAATTTTGCATAAGTATATCCATAACAATTTCATTTATGTAACAGTCAAAAATAGGCAAAACAAAACAAAATGTTGTTTGAGCAAGAAACATGTATAAGGTAAAATTATATAAACAAAAGCAAGAGAATTAAAAACACAAAATTCTGGATTGCTATTTATGTCTGAGGGTAGATGAGCAGGAGTGAGGTGAGGGAGAGCTTCACATACAGAGCTCAAAGTTGGGGGTGTTGTTCCAGTTTGTAAAACACGGCAGCAGATCCACAAGTGTCCACTGAATGTTCAGTATGTCATTATTCTTTAACAGTATCTACCTTCAAAGTTGGGGGTGTTGTTCCAATTTGTAAAACAGGCAGAAGATCCACAAATGTCCAGTATGTCCTGAATGTTCAGTATATCATTATTCTTTAACAGTATCTACCTCATATTTAATAAATATTTAATCTTCAATTCTTTTCAAATGAAACAATTTTCAAAAACTTTACCTTTCTGTCCAAATGGAGCTCAGGTACCTTCTTTTCCCTGAAGACAGGGTGCTAAGGAGGGAAGCCACAGGGTGTGGAGCCTAACAGACTTAGGTTTAATTTTAGATAAGTTCGTTCTTTCTTTCCTCATTTGAAAATCCTTCAAAGGGTTTTTGTGAGAATTAAATGAGAAAATACATACCAGGTACATTTTAGTTTCTCAATAAACATTAGCTCCACTTTCGCCAAAGGCTCCATGTCTCCCTGCTTCATGTCTCATAACATGTTATATTATCGTGTTCTACATTAAAATAGAATTATTCAGCTGGGTGTGGTGGCTCACGCCTATAATCTCAACACTTTGGGAGGCTGAGGCGGGTGGATCACCTGAAGTCAGGAGTTCGAGACCAGCCTGGCCATCATGGTGAAACCTGTCTCTATTAAAAATACAAAAATTAGCTGGGCATGGTGGCAGGCGCCTGTAATCCCAGCTACTTGGGAGGCTGAGGCAGGAGAATCCCTTGAACTCAGGAGGCAGAGGTTGCAGTGAGCTGAGATCACGCCATTGCACTCCAGCCTGGGCAACAAGAGCAAAACTCTGTCTCAAAAAAAAAAAAAGAAAAAAAGAATTATTTGTATATTTACCTCTACTTCCCATCCCTATCACTAAATCATAAGCTCTTTATGAGCAAAGATACATGCATAACCTGTAACAGATACTCAATTTTGTTGAATAGGACTAAAATAGTACAACCTAGAAATAAAGATTGGAATTCACTTTTAACATTCTCTTTCAATTTAGAGATAAGAAATCATTTTTTAAGTAACTTAACTGAAACACTAAGTAAATTTGGAGAAATCTTTAGAATGAGTTTTAGAGCCCTTGAAATGAAATAATTGAATGCCCCACATATTTTAAGCTTTACTGTTTTTTTTTTTTTTTTTTTTTTGAGACAGAGTCTTGCTCTGTCATCCAGGCTGGAGTGCAGTGCTGTGATCTCGGCTCATTGCAACCTCCGCCTCCTAGGTTCAAGTGATTCTTCTGCCTCAGCCTCCCAAGTAGCTGGGACTACAGGCACCTGCCACCACGCCCAGCTAATTTTTATATTTTTAGTAGAGACGGGGTTTCACCATGTTGGCCAGGATGGTCTCAATCTTTTGACCTCGTGATCTGCCCGCCTCGGCCTCTGAAAGTGCTGGGATTACAGGCATGAGCCACCGTGCCCGGCCGCTTTATTCTCTTTTTACCTCAGTTGGTTGGTAAAACAACAAAGGTTGAATGCTAAAGTTAAATTAAAATGCCTTTCCCTTAGGACTCTGATTTTCACCAGCAGTCTTGTTTTGTCCATTCCTTTTCATTTTCAATTATGTAATATTTATCTATTCACCTCTTCTGTTAATTTCTTTTTTGATGTATTGTGACCATGAATGATGACACAGTGGTACTAAATCTTACAATTGAATAGCACCTTGCTATACATATTATTTATTTGATTCTCATAACTAGGTAACAGGGAAGTCCCTTAAGATCACACATCTAATAAGTGACAGAGTCAGGATTTGAACCCAGGTATTTTACCAGTGATAGGATGTGCCCCTTTCATTAAACATTCATCCCTTTGTTTTGCAGATTCGAAGATATCCCTTGGAAGGTTTCGTGACTGAAAACAGAGAGGCAGGGATTGTTTTCGGCTCTCTGCCTATATACAGTGTGAGTTGGAGTTTCTAGGAGTAGAGGGGTCACAGAACAGTAGAGAATCTGCCATCTCATTCCTGACCCTGGGCTACCAAGCAAGGTTGGAGAAAATCATACAGTCAGTTGGACCGTTGCTTCCAAAAACGTATCATGTGCAGTCCCAGAAAAGTCTTGGACTGTGTGTGTCAATGACCGGGTCCCTTGTCTCTGCCATACCACGTGGTGGTTATTTTGAACGTTACTCTGTTGGCTTGTCAACTACAGGGTAAAATCCAAATGCCCTTGCTTGGCTTATAAAACCTCCAGGATCCACCCTCTTTTTTCACCACCTTTTCCTCATACTCTGCCTATATTCCAACCACATGAAATTACTTTCCGTGCCCTAAGCATCACTGGTCTCTCTAATACCTCTGAAACTGTGCCCGTGCTGCCCCCCTGCCCAGAATTCATTCATTTCTTGTTTCCCTCAAAATCCCTACTCATCCTTCAAGTCTCCACCCCAGGTAACCTTTGTTAGACAACTAATTAATTAACCCAAGAAATAATAAGCCAGAGACCAAATATTTCAAATTAACTTATATCTTAGATGTTATCTTTCCTAAGAACATGTTGTAACAGGTATCAAATACTTAAGCTAACAGATGATGCTAAAGGGTGAACTATCAAGATTTAGTAGTGAATTTCTAAGAGGTAGACGGAATGCAGTGTCTCACACCTGTAACCCTGGGATTTTGGGAGGCAGAGGCAAGGGGACTGCTTGAGCCCAGAAATTTGAGACCAGCCTGGGCAACATAATGGGGCCCTGTCTCTATTTTAAAAATAAAAAATAAAATAAAATAAAGATTTAATGCTGAGCAACTGGGAAGAAGGGGGGTGTGTATTTTGAAGCAGCTGGGCCTTCTCACTCCTCATCCCAACTCCTGAATTCATATTACAGAAGTAATCACTTTGAGTGTGTCTCACTGACTAATTTATGGCTTCCAGATATCAAGCCCCACTAGTCTAAGATTTCTTCCACTGATTGGCGTAGAAGCCCAAAAGGACTCTTCAGATGGCATTACAGGAAAGAAGAAGGGAGGTCATGTTCAACGTGAAAAAGTAAGTTAGTACTAATTCCACCGTTAACTCCAATTTCAGTGTATCCTATTTCTGTTTGTTTTTTTAAAAATATGTCTCTGCTTTCAGAAACATTCTGAACCTAAAATCATTTCAGTTCATACTTTTTTTTTTTTTTCTTGAGGCGGAGTTTCCCTCTTGTTGCCCAGGCTGGAGTGCAATGGCACGATCTCAGCTCACTGCAACCTCCGCCTACCAGGTTCAAATGATTCTTCTGCCTCAGCCTCCTAAGTAGCTGGGATTACAGGCATGCGCCACTGTGTCCAGCTAATTTTGTATTTTTTTAGTAGAGATGGGGTTTCGCCTTGTTGGCCAGGCTGGTCTCGAACTCCTGACCTCAGGTGATCCACCCACCTCGGCCTCCCAAAGTGTTAGGATTACAGGCATAAGCCACTGTGCCCGGCCTCAGTTCATATTTTTTATGAATATTCCAGATGTGTGTGTTTTAGCTCAGTGAGATGAAAATCATGAATTTGCTGGACAGAGAAAGAGAAAAATCAAATAAGATCAATAAGCCTGAGCTAATGAAGCTTATCTAGACCTTTATGACTGAAATTCACTGAGCTGTTTTAGAAACTAGGAGATTTGACACGACATAGAGGAGGGCTGTATAACCATCCTTGTGTCTTAATTTGGTTGTACCTACAGAGTAAAGCCATGAGGTCAGTTTCTGTCTTAGCTGCAAGAATTTTTCTACAGTATTAATAAAAATAACTAACATGCAATGCTTTAGAGTTTGCAGTGATTTTATAAATGATTCATTTGATTTTCACAATAAGAACAAAGAAAATATTAGACTCTCTTAGAGCTGGGGAAAAAATGGAGTCTAAAGTAAGGTCAAGTGGCTTACCAAAGATCACATACAAATGAAGTGATAAGCTGATACCTACTCTGACTCCAAGCTCATTCAATGAAACCATGATAGCCTACACAGCTATCACTATATAACCTATCACTCTCCTACTAGTTCTAGAAGCTCTCAGGGGCCTAACTTAACCTGTGGCCATTTATCCAGTCATTAAAATAGATCAAACATTTAGGAGGAAGATATAGCACATGGTAATTTTTTATAAGTCTCCTTTCCATGAAGTCAGATTAAAATTAAAAAGGAGTTGGCGTTTATTGATTGTGCCTAACTCAGTAATACATAACAAATACTGACAACAACAACAATATTCAAAGCTGCTTTAATTAATATTGAAAACTTTGCCATAATAATGTTAGCTTGTGCACTTAATGAGAATATGAATAATTTCTGTTCATCATCAACTCTGACAATTATTTAAGAATTTTTGGCATTAGAAGAGTTTTCTGTTAAAAAATATCATTTACTTTTAATTGTTTTATGTAACTGATGAAACACAGTTGTATAAATAATCCAAAACCTTGTCTAGAGACCTGGAAATGAAAAAAAAAATCCAAAACTAAAGGTAATAAAGTATTTGTATTTTTTTCTGCACGACTCTGTGCATTAGGTTTTATAATTCATGCATTTTATGTCTATTTGCACTCTTATTTAAATTTTATCTCATCTGATGTTAAATATACTTTGCATTCTTTAAGTAAATACTAAGTGACAGAAAGAAGATGGCCAAATATGTCTTAGGTACCAGGGGGAAGACAATATGGAATGAAAAATTATTCACAGTTAATCTACATAAAGACTAATCTACACTCCAATAACCAGAATTTGACTCTACTATAATTAATTTTATTAGAGATCATAAAGAATGATAAATTATTTATCCAAACACAAAGACATTTTTAAGATGTCTAAATAACCTGATGTTCTGACAAATCCTTTATTTTCTCTTAATCACTCTGATAGATCGTCGATCACACCAGAAAGACAAAAAGAATAGATGTCTTCATTTGTTTATAGAAAATAGGTGCCTTAATTTGCTTAAATTGAAAAATCCTCACATAAAACTCTCTTCTGGTTTACTAAAAGAAATAGTTAAGTGTGGCCAGGAGGTCAAAATTGGTTTCCAATATACAATTAAGACCAATTGTGCACTTAGTAAGATGACAAAATCTGGAAACTGGGATAGATTAAAGCACCACTATGTTAACTGTCTACAATTTTAGAACTCCAAAGAGCCTAAATGGAAAAACAGTGGATCACATAAAATCAGTAGTTAGACACCAAATGCCTCGTTTCATAAAAATACTTCCAAAATGGTGGGCATAAAACGACCTCAGAAATTCAGGGGGAGAAATTTCACTTTTATGAAACAAATATTTATGGAATACCTTAAAATATTCATCATGTCCCCTGCACTGTTCTGGGCACCAGGAATCCATTTATAGATTAAGGAACTTACAGTACAGTTGGAAGAAAGTCCTTTGAGTAAAAGGTTCAATAACAGATATCTTAGTCTATTTTGACTTACTATTTTTAAATATAGAAATGCTAATTCTGAATATGAACTTCTTTAAATCATTTATACGTCTCTTTAGAATTAAACAACACATTATAAAATATTAACCATGGTACAACAAAAGATAAATCAGAACATGAGTTTGTATTTCCTTTTCAGTTTAAATGTAGGAAGAGAAGGGAAGAAAGTGAACTTTGGAAAGTGTAACCCATTTTCAAAATTGTGGAAACATGTCCAATCATGCAAAAATGTCTAAGTGAAAGATGGTATATGTGAAAACATACTCCATAGTTTTTCCAAAGTATTTAATGACAGGCCAGGCTCAGTGGCTCATGCCTGTAATCCCAGCACTTTGGGAGGCTGAGGCAGTTGAACTGATTGAACCCAGGAGTTTGAGACCAGTCTGGGAAACACAGTGAGACTTTGTCTCTCCAAAAAAAAAAAAAAAAAAAAATACAAAAATTAGCCGGGTGTGGTGGTGCACACCTGTAGTCCCAGCTGCTTGGGAGAGGTGGGAGGATCGCTTGAGCCTGGAAAGTGGACGTTGCAGTGAGCCAAGATCGTGCCAAAGCATCTCAGCCTGGATGACAGAATGAAACTCTGTCTCAAAAAAAAAAAAAAGTATTTAATGACAGAAAAATTATCACAATTTTATTTTAGGTGAAAAGAATATATAAACTGTAACTCAGTAATATTTCTAATGACAACAGCAAATCTTTATTTTCAAATCAATGTTGCCCAGTATGATATTGTGCATTTGCTATGTACTCTTTCATTTCATCTTTGCAACAACACTTTGAGATATGTTGCAATGATCATCCTCCTGTTACAGTTAAGAAAACTGAAACACAGAGGATAAGTAATTCCTCTGAGATTCCAAAAAAGCAAGTCATAGAGCTGGGATAAATCCAGTCACTTAACTTCAAAGCCTGGACACTTAAATGCAATGCGGTATAATTCAGTGATGGGTGAGCTGCTAGGTCTCTCCTGGTCAGAATAACCTTATGAGAATTAACAATTAATGAACACTAGAGAGCCCCACCCTTCCCATCTTTTTCAGTCTCCTCACTGATGTAATTTTTTTCATAGCTCTGATCACTACATGACATTGTATCATATAAAAATCCATTTTTTCCAAAATTATTTTTCATATAGCTTAATTTTTCCCCTAAAAAGTCATTTTTATTGCCTTTATCCCACTAGAATGTAAGATCCATGAAGGCAGAAACTTTGCCTAACTTACTCTCTGCTGCAGTGCCAATGTCTGGAACATAAGAGACACTGCAGAAACATTTGCTGAATGAAATAGTGAATTAGCCTTTAAAACAAGTGGAAAAAGAAAAAGAGAAAATAAAAGAAAGATCTGTGCAGCTTGGAAAGTTCCCTCTGCTGGGGTTTAGCAGGTTGATCCAGGGAGCTAAGCCTCCTACCTTGTCTGTGGGAGAAAGAGGAGTACTCATGTGACCTCTTAATGTCCAAGCTTAAAGGATCCGTAAGTGGTTGAATCTTGACCTTAGGAGCTCACTCTTCTCCCTTTCCTTATAACTCTCTACATCTCCTCTTCCCTTTTTCTTCTTTCTTTCTTTATCCCCATAATAGACCATAAAATCAAATTGACATGTATTGTGAATATTGGTTGAACATAACTGATATGAATTTTTAAACCAAATTAGTTTAAATTTTTATACCTATTTCTTCCAAAAATAATCAATGCAAAACAAACTTTTATTAGCTGGACGTGGTGACACATGCCTGTGGTCCCAGTTACTCGGGAGGCTAAGATGGGAGGATTGCTTGAGCCCAGGAGGTTGAGGCTGCAGTGGGCTGTGATGGTGCCACTGCACTCCAGCCTGGGTGACAGAGCAAGACCCTGTCTCAAAACAAAGCAGAACACAACAAAAACCAAACTTTTATTCCTCATTTGTGTGACTGATAATCACTTGATTTTATTTTCCTGTGAGCCAACCGACTCTGATGTTATTAATCTGCAATATTAATTAATTATTAATTGTGCTCGCTTCAGCAGCACATATACAATATTAATTATTAATTAACCAAGTCTTGTTTTGTTTTGTTTTGACCCAACCCTTTCCACACTGTGCAGCTGAGTCCTAGAATGGATAACTGCCCAGTTAAGTAGCTCTTCAGCTTCTGCTTGTCCACCGCATCCTTCAGGAGCCCCACCTCCTAATTTAACATACTTTTATCCTGAAGTCACATAGGATTGTTAAGTAAATAACTATTCATTTTTTTTCTAGGAGGATTAAAATCTCTATGTAAATTAGCAATACACCTTGACTCTGGAAAATTGTGTTTGTCAGTAGAATGCCAGTTACTAACTGACATGCTCTTTATTTCACAGGCACCACGAAGAAGAAGTTTGAAAAAAAATTTAGTCCCACAAATAAATCTGGCTTCTTCCTTCTTCCCAGCTATACCCAAGTAAGGAGAAAAAATCAGAAATGGCTGCTGCACATAAAATGGCAACGTTTGGATGATACCTGCTCTTTATTTCAGGATGAGAGGGAGAAACCACCAGACACTATCAGTCATCTCTGGTGTCAGGCCATCCTATTGATGGGAAAGATTGCTTAGGGAGTTCTGGTGACCTTAACTCTGAATACCAAGCAAGCAGCAAGCAGCCAGAAGTTTAGGCGGTGTTTCTTATTTACTGTCAGCAAACTGACACATAAGAAAACAAATGAAATCAACAGCATTAGTAGGTCTAAAATAATATGGTTATCAATGTTTAGCTTTCCACTTCCTCCCATTGGTCACCTTACTCCACAGCAAGAATGACTGTCAGAACATGTGCAGTAAAAGGCACTTTCAAGTCATGCTATGTGTTGTACAAAAAGAATTATTAAAAAGAAAAATGTACCAGTCAGATCTCTAGATGTTTGTCTTCTTCATTTAGAGAAATATTATCTGGAAGAAAATGTCCTAAGTTTCTCAAAGTCAGAAATTATTTCTATGTAGTCCAGACCTGACTCCAGATAAATATAAAAGACGGCAAAGAAAGGAAGAAAAATGGGTCATAGAAATAGAAAAAGCATAGTAACATGGTAGATTTAACCTTAAATATATCAATAATTATGAAACCTTTAATAGGTTAAAGTATGCAAGTTTAAAAGGTTGTCAGAATGGATTAAAAAAACAAAATCCAACTATATGTTGTTTACAAGAAACACATCTAACATACAAGGACACCAAACTCTTAAAGATAAAAGAATGAAAAAAGATGTATGATGCAAAAACTAACCTAAAGAAAATCAATATAGCCATATTAATATTAAAATACACTTTAAGAAAATAAACAAGAATCTTTATAAAAGTTTTATAAAGTTATTAATAATAACTCAAAAAAGGAAAAAGCCTAGTTTCCACAACAGAAGAATGACTAAACAAACTATGGTAGGGTAGGACAATGGAATCCTCAGCAATTAAAGGGAATAAAATGCTAATGCATGCATTAACATAGACCAATCTCAAGAATATGTTAAGTCAAAAAAACTTTACAGAAAGAATACATGTTGTATGATTCCACGTTTATAAAATTCTACAACAGGAAAGACTAACACTCAGTTTAAAAAATTAAAACAATGGTGGCCTCTGGAAGAGAGGGCAAATATCACAGAGAGATTTAGAGATTTAGAAGGGGTATGAAAGAACTTTCTGGGGTGAATGGTAATGTTATCTTAATAAAGTTTGGGTTATACAGCTAGGTGTGCATTTCAAAATTTATTGGATGATATTTCTGCATTTCGTTGTATGTGAATTTTTTCAAAAAATTAAGAATTGTAAACTAATATTCTCATTGATATGCATGCTAATAGGATTACTAGTGTCTTCCACTTACTTTGAAATGAATCAAAAAAATAAGATGAACTAATGGATAGAGGGATGGACTGATAGATGGATATGTGTTAGAGCATATCTAAAACCACATTAATTATGGAATCTAGGTGGTAGGAATACAGGTATTCATTAAAGAACTCTTTCAAATTCTCTGAGTGTTTTCATTTTTTTCCATACTAAAAGAGAGGAGGGAAAAAAGTTTAATGAAGAAATCAATATAACATTTTAGAGAAAACTTTGAGGAACTCTGTATAAATGCAAAGGTATATTTATGTTCATGGCTTTGAGGATTCAATATTGTAAAGATGTAAGTTCTTTCTATACTAGTCATCTATTGCTGCATAACAAACAATGAAAAAAAATTGAGTGGCTCGCAACAGCAATCATGTATTTGCTCATGACTCTGTGGGTCAGCAATGTGGGCTGGCTCCACCGGGGCATTTCTTCTGGTCTCACCTGGTGCCACTCACACAACTGCAGTGAGTGTCTAAATGGTCTAAGACGGCCTCCTTGTGTTTGATGCTGACTACTGGCTGGACTTCTCTTTCTGTGTGATCTCTCATCTCCAAAGAGCCAAGGGGCCAGATTACAGTCTGTAATTCCAGAACTTGGGGAGGCTGAGGTGGAAGGATCACTTGAGCGCAGAAGTTTGAGACCAGCCTAGGCAACATAGCAAAACTCTGTCTCTACAGTAAATACACAAATTAGCTGGGTGTGGTGGCACAGGCCTGTAGTTCCAGCTACTGGAGATGCTGAGGTGGAAAGATCACTTGGGCCTGGGGTGTCAAGGCTGCAGTGAGCTGAGATCGCACCGCTGCACACCAGCCTGAGTGAGGGAGCGAAATCCTGTCTCAAACACAAAACAAAACAAAACAAAAACACAAAGAGGCGAGACCACAATTCTTCACATAATGATCTGATGGTTTCAAGAAGGCAAAAACAGAAGCTACAAGATCTCTTGAAGCACTGAGTACAAAAGAAAAGATAGGTAAATTGAATTATATTACAGTTTAAAATTCCTGTTTACCAAAGAGAGACTATTAAGAAAGAAAAAAGGCAAGCTGTAGAATGGCAGAGATTTTCATTACCTGTAACTAAGAAAGGACTTATATCTAAAATATATAAAGAACTCCAACAAATCAATAAGAAAAATCAAGGCAATCCAGTAGGATAGGCAAAAAAAAAAAAAAAAAACCATGAACTAACACTTCAGAGAAGAGGTTATGCAAATAGTCAATACATATATTAAAAAATGCTCAACTTTCTTAATAGTAATCAAGGTAATGCTAATCAGAACCATATTAGATGAAAGATTCAACCAAAAACAAAAAATACCCTCCTGGGATTAATAATCAATTATACCCAAGGTTGTTGAATGCAAGATTAATACACAAAAGTCAATTGCTTCCCTATTTACCAGCAATGAACACGTGGAATTGAAATTAAAAACACAATACTTAGGCAAAAACCTAACAAAATATGTAGAAGAACTATATGAGGAAAACCCCAAAACTCTGATGAAAGAAATCAAGTAACTAAATAAAGGAGAAATATTCCATGTTCATGGGTAAGAAGATTCAATATCATCAAGATGTCAGTTTTTCCCAACTTGATCTAAAAATTCAATGCAATCCCAACCAAAACCCCAGAAAATTACTTTGGGGATATTGAGGAACTGATTCTAAAGCTAATATGGAGAAGCAAAAGACACAGAATAGCAAACACAATGTTGAAGAAGAAGAATAAAGTTGGGGGACTGATATCAAGACTTAGTATAAAGCTATCGTGATCAAGACAGTGTGGTACTGGCAACAGACATAAGAAATAGATCAATGGGACAGAATAGAGAGCCCAGCACCAGACCCACATAAATACAGTCAACTGATCTTTGACAAAGGAGCAAAGATAACACAATGGAGAAAAAGATACACTTCCACACATGCTGCTGGAACAACTGGACATCCACGTGCAAAAAATGAATTCAGAAGCAACCTTACATCCTTCCCAAAAATTAGCTCAAAATGGATTATAAGCCTAAATGTATGATGTAAAACTGTAAAACTCCTAGAAGGTAACATAGGAGAAATTTTAAATTTCCTTCAATTTGGTAATGATGTTTTAGATACAACACCAAAGACACAATCTATGAAATAAGGAATTGATAAAGTTCACCTCATAAATAGAGCCTCTCTCTCTCTTTTTTTTTTTTTTTTTTTTTGGAGACAGAGTCTTGCTGTGTCGCCTGGCTGGAGTGCAATTGCACAATCTCTGCTCACTGCAACCTCCACTTCCTAGGTTCAAGCAATTCTCGTGCCTCAGCCTCCTAAGTAGCTGGGACTACAGGCACATGCCACCACACCCTGCTACTTGTTTGCATTTTAGTAGAGACAGGGTTTCGCCATGTTGCCCAGGCTGGTCTCAAACTCCTGAGCTCAGGCAATCCGTCCACCTCAGCCTTCCAAAATGCTAAGATTATAGGCATAAGCCACCATGCCTGGCTTTGTAAACTGCACTTCATTAAGATTAAAATTATCTGCTCTGTAAGAGACACTGTCAAGAGAATGAAAAGACAAGACAAAGACTGGGAGAAAATGTTTGCAAAAGACACATCTGATAAAGAACTGTTATCTAATATATAAGAAGAACTATTAAAACTCTACAGTGCCAGGCATGGTGGCTCAGGCCTGTAATCCCAGCACTTTAGGAGGCCAAGATGGGTGGATCACTTAAGGCCAGAAGTTCCAGACCAGCCTGGCCAACATGGTGACCCCATCTCTACTAAAAATACAAAAATTATCAGTCATGGTGACACATGCCTGTAGTCCCAGCTACTCGGGAGGCTGAGGCAGGAGAACTGCTTGAACCTGGAAGACAGAGGTTGCAGTGACAGTGAGCCAAGATTGCACCGCTACACTCCAGCCTGGGCAACCGAGCAAGACTCTGCCTCAAAATAAATAAACATAAATAATAAAATTCGACAGTAGGCCAGGCGTGGTGGCTCACACCTGTAATCTCAGCACTTTGGGAGGCCAAGCTGGGCAGATTGCCTGAGGTCAGGCATTCGAATCCAGCCTGGCCAACATGGTGAAACCCCGTCTCTACTAAAAATACAAAAATTAGCGGGGCATGGTGGAGCGTCCCTGTAGTCCCAGCTACTTGGGAGGCTGAGGCAGGAGAATCACTTGAACGTAGGAGGTGAAAATTACAGTGGCAGTGAGCTGAGATCGCACCACTGCACTCCAGCCTGGATGACAGAGTGTGACTCTGTTTCAAAGCAAACAAACAAACAAAAAACCCAACAGTAAGAACACAAACAACTCAATTTTAAAATGAGCCAAAGACTTTAACAGACATCTCATCAAGGAAGATATACAGTTGGCAAACAAGCATATGAAAAGATGCTCAACATCCTATGTCATCAATGAAATACTAATTAAAACAATGAGAAACCACTATACATGTATTAGAAGGACCAAAATCCAGAACGAGGATACCACCAAATGCTGGTGGGGATGTGAAGCAACAAGAACTCTCATTCATTGCTGCTGGGAATGCAAAATGGCACAACCACTTTGGAAGACAGCTTGGCAGTTTTTTAAATAAAACTAAACATACTCTTACCATATGATACAGCAATTACACTTCTTGTTATTTACCCAAAAGAGCTGAAAACTTATGTCCACACAAAAACCTGCATGCTGATGTTTATAGCAGCTTTATCCATAACTGCCATAATTTGGAAGCAACAAAAATGTCCTTCAGTAGGTGAATAGATAAACTAGTACAACCAGACAATGAAATATTACTCTTCACTAAAAAGAAATGAACTATCAAGCCATAAAAAGATGGGAGGAAATGTAAATGCACATAAGTAAGTGAAAGAAGCCACTCTGAAAAGGCTGCATACTGTATGATTCCAACTATATGGCATTCTGGAAAAGGCAAAAGGTATGGAAACAGTCAAAAGATCAATGGTAGCCAGAAGTTAGGGAGTGAGGGAGTGATGAATAGGTGAAGCACAGATTTTTAGGGCAGTGAAACTACTCCACATCACACTACAATGGTGAATACATATATTTCATACATGTCCAAATTCAGAATGTACAACACCAAGTGTGAACCTAAACATAGAGACTATGGACTTTGGATAATAAAGACGTGTCAGTGTAGGTTCATCACTTGTAACAAATATATCACTCTGGTAGGAGATGCTGATATTGGGAAAGGCTATGCACTAAAATTGTTCTAAAAAATAAAATCTGTTAAAAAAATTACACACACACACACACACACACACACACACACACACTATACCACTAGAAAACCCTCAGAATTACTTAAATTAAAAGGACCAACAATACCAAATGTCAGCAAGGATGTGCAACAACAGCAATTCTTGTGGACCTCTGGTGGACGTGTAAATTGGTTGAGTCATTTTGGGAAACACTTTGATATTATCTACTAACATTGACAAACAAACATTCTGTGACTCAGCAGTTCCACTCCTTGGTGTATATCTAACAGAAATATGTGCACATGTATACGAAGAGACATGTAAGAGAATGTTTCTAGCCACATTATTCACAACAGCTCAGAACTGGAAACAATCTCAATGTCCACCAGTGGTGGAATGGCTAAATAACTCTTGGTATATTCATATAACAGAATACAATAAAAATGAATAAATTAATTATGCATAAAACATGGGTGAATCTCAAAAATACAGTGTTGAACAGAAGCCAGACAAAAATTATCCCAAACTAAGGGATTCCACTTAAATTTTTTAAAAAATAGAAAACTAAACTAAAGTGTTTAGGAATAAATAATTACGCATTATATAAGAAAGAAAAGAAAGAAAGAAAGAGAAAGAGAGAGAGAGAAAGAGAGAGGGAGGGAGGGGGAGAGAGAGAGAAAGAAAGAGAGAGAGAGGGAGGTGGAGAGAGAGAGAGAAACAAAGAAAGAAAGAAAAAGAAAGAAAGAAAAGAAAAGAAAGAAAAGAAAGAAAGAAAGAAAGAGATGGAAGAAACCACAAGGAAGTGGTTTCCATAAGAATTGCGATAAGGCTGGGCATGGTGGCTCATGCCTGTAATCCCAGCACTTTGGGAGGCTGAGGTGGGTGGATCACCTGAGGTCAGGAGTTCGAGGCCAGCCTGGCCAACGTGGTGAAACCCCATCTCTACTAAAAACACAAAAATTAGCCAGACGTGGTGTCAGGTGCCTGTAATCCCAGCTACTCAGGAGGCTGAGGCAGGAGAATCGCCTGAACCTGGGAGGCGGAGGTTGCAGAGAGCCGAGATTGCACCACCGCACTCCAGCCTGGGCGACAAGACTGAAACTCTGTCTCAAAAAATATAATAATAAATAAGAATTGGGATAGTGGTTATCTTTTCAGCAGAAGGAAAATGTAGCTATTGGGAGGCGGTATGGTAGATTTGTACTGTGTCCACTTAGCTTAGCTGTAACTAACTATTTTATCCAGAATTTTCTTCCATGCAATTCTAAGTTAGCATAGGCTACCTGAACCTCGGTATAATACAGAAGGCAGAAGTGAAATAGCAGCCATGTGTTTTTGTGCACAAAAGGCAGGTGCAAAGTACTGTTGCATTTAGTGGATGTTGTCCCCAATTTCCTGAATCACTTGGGAATGAGGCAATCTCTGCTCTTACAACTACCCAAGACCTTCTTCTTCAGCTTTTCCAACTTCTGGGCCAGATTGCCTGCCCTGCTCATTTCAGAGCCAGCATAAGACCCAGAAGCAACAGCTGTATATAAACTGTTCACCAAGCCACCACGATTGTGTAAGGTGAAACCCTCATAAGAAATCCCACATTCTGTAGCAGCCCTCACTGTTTCCTCTGACGGAAACTGATTGGTAAACAAGGGGCATGGAAGAGGCCTCCTGGCCACTGGGAACATTCTGTTTCTTGACTTGCTGATGGCTACAGTGATGTTCCCTTGGTGATGATAAATAAAGCTTTACATCTGTGTTTTGTTCAATTATCTGTAGCTATGCTATATTTACCAATGAAAGTTAAAAAAAAAACTCAAAACTACATGTTACAAGCATTAAAAATAGAACAAAACTGCTCTCATGACCTGATGTTTAGAATTACTGCATGTTGTGCCTTTAAAAAAATACACTAGTTTCTCCTATTAATTTTGTGTTTCATTTCTAAATAATGAGCTATGAGAGAAGGATGAAGGCTGCTAAAGAGTTACTTGGTGATGTCCTAAACTGGACTGGTTTGGGGCCAGGCAAAAAATGTCATGTGACATTTCATTCCTCTTGGCATTTGAGTGGTACTTAATACACATAGTTGTTGTGAAGATTAAATGAGTTAATATATTAAAAATGCTAGATGTCCTACCCATAGGAAGCAGTAGTCAAGTGCTTGCCATTATCATTATTCTTAATGTTGTTGTTAGTATTATGTCCTCTCGCATCAATAGATAAGAAAAACATAAAAATTGTATAGATGCTGCATATCAACGAAGGCAATGATTCTCAAATAGCTGAACACTGGAATCACAAGGAGAAATTTCACAAAATCACACTTCCTGTGTGTTGGGGGGAGGGGGGGTGAGGGGATGTACAGAATAATTTCTCCCAAATATGTCTACATCTAATCCCCAGAATCTGTGCATTTACCTCACACGGAAAAGGGGGCTTTGCAGATTGATTAAATTAAGCATTTTGAGGTGGGGAGATTATCCTGGATTAGTCAGGTGAGCCCAAGGTAATCCCAAAAGTGTTGAGAAGGAGGAGAGAGTTAAAGTCAATCAATAGAGATTTGGTGACAGAAGGAAGGGTTGGAGTGAGGTGCTTTGAAGCTAGGAGAAACCACACAGGAATGTGGGCTCCCTCTAAAGCTGGAGAAGCAAGAAAACAGATTCTCCCTGGAGCCTCCAGCAGGAACGTGGTCCTGCCCATACCCTGAGTTTAGCCCCAGGACAATCATTTCAGACTTCTGGCCTCGAGAATTCTAGGATAATAAGTTCATGTTTTATTAAGCCATTAAGATTGTGTTATTTTTTATAGCAGCAGGAAAAAACTAATGGGGGCCGGGGATTAGAGTTACATTTCAATCTCAGGGAAGAGGTATAGGCATCATTTTTGTTGTTACTGTTTTAATCTCTCCAGGTGAGGGCTCCTCACTTACTGCCAGGGTTAAGAAGTACTGAACTAGGAGGGTGAAGGAGAGGGTCAAATATTTTAAGACCAAAGGAGGTGCATGTCATCACTGGGTACCTCTGTGTAACAGAGAAATTCAAGACTACAGAATAAGGGATATTATTTTTTAATACTGGGGCGAAATAAGGAATAAATATTAACCAGACCCTGAGTGCTTGAACAGAGCGGCCAAGAGTCTCCTAGTTCCCAGTGAAGATTAAGTAATTTATCTGCTGTCACACAGCTTGTGAGTTGGAACAGGCTGGACAATGAACCTTGGCTATACACCTTGTGTTATTTAATTTATTTATATGTTTGAGTGCTTTGCTTTGTTCTTTTGTTTTCAGCGAAACTACATTATAAACCTTTTGAAAGCAGGGAAATTGTATACTTTTAGAAATCTGATGAAATTGAGTTACTGAATTAAATCTAGCAGCGGATTCAATATTGGCCATAAAACCCTGGCTATCTTTATTCTATAATATCCTGAAACCCCATCTGCTATTTAATTCAGCCCAATTTTGAGGCCAAGCCCACCCACCTGTCTGTGTGTGGCCTCAATATTTTCTGCCATATCTTATTATATTTTAGGATGACATAATTAGATTTAGTCTACCAGATTTTACTCCCACCAAGCTGGCAACAGTTCATAATAATTACCAATTGATAATAATCACCAATGATAATTTTTACATGAGACAAAAAAAAGTCTAAACTATATAGGACAAAGCATGTACTTTCAATGTAAGCCAGGTATCAGAAAAGACAAGTTATATACTTTGGCCGGCATATCTGGTATAAAACAAGAACATTTTCCCCCAGGGCACTTCTCCACTTCCTTCAGATCTCTGTTCAAATGTCACCTTATAAGAGAATCCTTATGTGACCATCTCTATTTGAAACGGCACCTTCCACACCTGCCTCTTCACATGCACCCATAAGCTTTCCGTCCTTCTTACTTGTCCTTTATAGTACTTAGCACCAGTCCATAACATCATTTACTTATTTTTCTTCTTATCTGTTACTCCTCCCTAGAAGACAAGCTCTCTGAGAGTAGGAACTCTAGTTAGGTCATGCGCTATGTCTCCAAGGTCTAGAACAGTGCCTGCATAGAGTAGGCACCTGTAATTATCAGCAGAATGGCAGCTAGATATACGTGATGTAGCGGGAACATCACCAGGCCTGGAATTAGGACATCACTGTTCATTGTCCAGCCTGTTCTGACTCGCAAGCTGTGTGACAGCAGAGAAGTTACTTAAACTTCCTGATCCTCAGTTTTCTTATCTGGAAATAGGAGTGTCACCCACCCTGTTTACCTCAGTGTCTTAAAAACCACAAAGTGATGTACTGATCTCATGTGTTTTTTTCTTGTATGTGGTATGGTGTGGCTGCTCATTTAGAGCTGTCCTGTCGCATGACTTTTGTCCTATAACCATTGCATTACGGTTGAAGAAACGGGAAATGAAATTATTTGTGTGTCACTAGTTAGCCATTTACACTGTATTTTTGTGGTGAGTAAAGGCAGTGGAGAGGGAAGAACAGAGAGACAATCTGAGTTACTAATGACCATCTTTTTTTTGTTGTCGTTGTTTTTGAGACAGAGTTTCACCCTTTTTGCCCAGGCTGGAGTGCAAATGGTGTGATCTTGGCTCACTGCAACCTCCACCTCCCAGGTTCAAGTGATTCTCCTGCCTCAGCCTCCCGAGTAGCTGGGATTACAGGCGCCTACCACCATGCCCAGCTAATTTTTTGTATTTTTAGTGGAGACGGGGTTTCACCATGTTGGCCAGGCTGGTCTTGAACTCCTGACCTCAGGTGATCCACCTGCCTCAGCCAACCAAAGCACTGGGATTACAGGCATGAGCCACCACGCCCGGTAGACAGTCTTTTAACTCAGCAACACATCCACCACCTGTAATGAGGGCTATAGAACTCCCAGCCTCTTCAGCTCCCCTGCCTGTTCCCCCTTTCCTAGGCTAACCAAAAACTGAATATGCCTACCAGTCACCTCTTCAAAAGCTATGTTATCAGCAGCCAAATTGATTACCAAGTGTTAAATAACACATAGAAAAAAAGTACAATATTGGGTCTTTGGAGTTTGATGCCTGTGGTGAGCTCCATATTATGGAGAACATCCTTATTCATTATCTTCTCAATGGCTTTTGCTTTCTTTCAGGGAGGTATTTATTATTACAGTGACAGAAGGACGAAACAAAGCTATAATTTTGTACAGCATACAGGAGGCTATTTCTTATGTTATTCTTCTTTGTAGCTTTCTATTATAACAATTTTTCTCATTTCATTCCTTAATAGAACAATTCAACATATGGGAAAGGCAATTCAGTGTGGTTTGTCTCTTGAATCATATTATTCTGTTTGAAAGCTGAATACTCGGATTATCTTATTTTGGTAACTCATTGAACTACATTTACTAAATTTTACTTCAGCTTTGTTGAACCTAAATTGAAGGACATTGTAATAAACAGCCAAACAGAACCTGCTGTTTTACTTAATACAGGGATACAATGGTGATTACACCATCCCTAGATCACTCAGTCTTTTTAAAAATTATTATTATTATTTTTTGAAACAAGGTCTCACTTTGTTGCTCAGCCTGGGGTGCAGTGGCACCATCATAGCTTACTGCAGCCTGCTGGGCTCAAACAATCCTTCTGCCTCTGCTCCCAAGCCTGGGACTAAGGGGACGGGCTACCATGCCTGGGTAATTTTTTTATTTTGTAGAAGCAGAATCTCACTTTGTTGCTGAGGGTGGTCTCAAACGCCTGTCCTCAAGTGACCCTGCTGCCTCGGCCTCCCAAAGTGCTGGGATTACAGACACGAGCCACCCCACCTGGCCAACTCAGAGTCTTCACAAAAACTCAAGAATCCTCCCTTGGGTCTCAGGGTTAAGAAATGTTGTGCTTTGTCTAGAGAACTAATCTGCTTTGATCTTGTGGACACCATAATTACTATAACTGGATGTTGTTTCCTCTTTTCTCTGAAAACTTAGAAAATGCAGAGCCAAATTCGTATCTTCCCCTCAGCAATGCTTTTAGAACACGATTATGTTTTACATTCTTGCACAGATATTCCTCTGGCCCAGATTGCACAAGTAATTTATTATATTCTTTTGTATTACACGCACTTTTGTAAATTAACATAGTTTTTTGGGGATAAGGTTTATATGGATGGATGAGTACGTATATATTTATATATACACACATTTTAATAGGCTTTATTTTTCAGAGCAGTTATAGGTTCACAGCAAAATAGAGCAGAGGAAGTACAGAGATTTTTCCATTTACTCCTACCCCCACACATGCATAGCCCCCATTATCATAAACATCCCCCACCAGAGTGTACATTTGTTATGACTGATGAACCTATATTGATGCATCATTATCACCCAGAGTCCACAGCATACATTAGGGTTCACTCTTGGTGTTGTACATTCTATGGGTTTGCACCAATGTATGAGAACATGTATCCACCATTATAGTATCATACAGAGTAGTTTAACTGCCCTAAACATTATCTGGATTTCTTCTTTTTTTTTTTTTTTTTAGAGATAAGGTCTCACTGTGTTGCCCCCAGTCTGGTCTTGAACTCTTGGCCTCAAGCAATCCTGCTGCCTCTGAATCCAAAAGTGCTGGGATTACAGATGCCAGCCACTACACCAAAAACCACAATTTTTTTTCCAAATTTTATTCTAAGTTTCCAGCTTCTTTTCATGAATGATCGTGTCTGAATAAGCTTCCTTTCATGAATGATTGTGTCAGCTTCTCTCAAAGCTGACCCATTTTTTATAAAGTACAACCAAAATAAAAGAAAGTCTACTTGAAAATCCAAATTTCAGTGGTAGGGCTGGGTGCAGTGGCTCACGCCTGTAATCCTAGCACTTTTGGAGGCCAAGGAGAGCGGATCACTTGAGGTCAGGGGTTCCAGACCAGTCTGACCAACATGGTGAAACCCCATCTCTACTGAAAATACAAAAATATCCAGGTGTGATGGCATACATAACCCTGTAATCTCAGCTACTTGGGAGGCTGGGACGTGAGAATCCCTTGAACCCGGGAGGCGGAGGTTGCAGCGAGCCGAGATCGCACCATTGCACTCCAGCCTGGGTGACAGAGTGAAACTCTGTCTCAACCGAAAAAAAAAAAAGATTTCAGTGGCAAGTGTTTACTTGCCACTGAAGAAGTAATAAGAAGTCTCTTTACAAAATGAGACTCATAAAACCTCAAGAGTTTTCAAAAATAAACTCAGATATTTCAACATAAATAAGCATACAGAGTAAACGGATAAGATTTCAAAACCTTTTCATTACTAATATGATAAGCCAAAAAAAAAAAAAAAAGAACTTGGGGAATGAATAACATTTGTCATAACACAATGAATTCTTCTTTGTTAATGCAATCCCCCTGAATTATTTTGAAAGACATATAATCAATAAAGGAGAATGTGTTATTACTAAGTCACTTAGGAGGGCTATAATAAATATGCAACCATTAGAAAATACCCCAAAATAAATATTTTATTATGTTTCTAGGAGTAAGTTTCCTTTAGATATATTTGTTATTACATAAGAATTTTCTGGAGTTTGGGCTGCTATGTTGAAAACCTAACCATGCAATTTATCTACTCTTTAAAAATATAGGAAGGGTTATGAAACTTCTAAATTTTTCTCAATTAAAATATCAAAATTGTCTGTTGATTGATACTGAAGAGGGAGAAAGTTAATCTGCTTTCAGACACTTAAAATATCAAAGTCTCACCCCTTTCCAATTTCTTCCCCTACCCCATCTATTTCAAAGAGTACCATATCTTTCTAGATTCTAGAACATCAGTATAGAATGCCATCGTGAATTCCAAATATCATTTTCTTTAACCCTCCTTTAAAGACACTCCCTCTATTTCCCCCACACAGCATGACTTATACCAAAATCAACTCATTTATTCCTCTTATTCCTCTACCCCTCCCCATACCTCATCTCTGGCCAAAGGAGTAATTTAAATTTTGCTCCTGGGTTAATTGTCATGGATCAGCATTCTGACCTTCAATTCTTTACTATTCCACCTCAATATTATCTTAGCTGCCTTGGAACTCAGTAAATTTACTTTCCTAAGTGTATTAACCAGGGTTCTCCTGAGAAACAGAATCCCAAAGGTCCTATGGAAAGAGATTTATTATGACAGATTGGTTCATGCAATTATGGAAGCTGAGAATCTGCATCTGTGAGCTGGAAACCCAGGAAAGCTACTGGTGTAGTTCCCATCCAGCTTTGGAGGCCTGAGATCACTAAGGGCAATGGTATAAGTCCCAATTAAGAGACCAAAGGTCCATGAGCTAGGAGTGCTGATGTCCCAGTTCAAGCAGAGAGGGAATTGCCCTTCTTCTGCATTTTTGTTCTATATCAGCCCTCAAAGGATTGAAAAATGTCAATTCACATTGGTGTGGGTGATCTTTACTTAGTCTACTGATTCAAATGCTAATTTCTTAAGAAAACTCGCCCATAGATATACCCAGAAATAATGGTTTCCTAGTTATCTGGGTATCCCTTAGTCCAGTCCAGTTGACATATTAAAATTAACCATCGCACTGAGTACTGAAAACTAATGAACACCGTGCTAAATGTATGCATCTCTAGAAGATCTTTGAAGTTCATTTTGATGAATAGTAAAGAAATAAAATTAATAACACCAAAATCAATGGTATTAGCTTGAATACTACAGACTTAATTCCATTTGCCCTTGATTGAATCAGAGGGATTATGATAATCACTCCGATATTATGCTACTACTTATAAATCATTGCTTTTCCATGGTGTCACTTTTTAAATGGCTCATTTCCGCTTAAAAATTTTTTTGTGATTTGTACGCTATGCCTGGTACACAGTAGGCACTTGATAATATTTGTTATTTGATTTTAATTTCATGATTGCTATAACTAATTCTATTCCAATATGCCAGATGCTCTTCCTATTAGCACTCATTGGCAAAACTGAATCATGAATGACTCCAGTATAACAAGCAAATTGTATATAAATCACATAAGAAAAAAACAGACATTGCATTTAGGATAAAATAAATGCACTTACATTTTTCTTTTCTCTGAGGTTTTACTTTCCAAAATTATAAACTACAAATTTGCCTAAATTTCTAAAAATTGGGTCACTAAAAATGTAGACATAAATTAACGTGGTTCTTTTGGTTTTGCCGTATCCAACTATCTCAACAGGATTTTACCAAGATAAAATCTGAACCAGTGATTCCATTGGCTGCATTAGAACCAGCTGAGAACTGGGTTTTTTAAAAACACAATACGTATTTTCAGGCCCAATCCTCTAAAAACGCTGATTCAGCTGTGTCTGGTGTGGTGCTAGTGCATCTTTATTACATTAAAGATATCAAGGGGGTTATGATGTGCAGACAGCTTTAGGTGGTTAGGACCAACTTAGCTTATTACCTAACATGCGATCAAATTCTAAATGAGTCAACATGCAGACGTTCTAAAAAACAACAATCACATTTTTTCTTCATTTGATTATCTACTGTGTTAATGTAATGCCTTGCTCACTCTAAGAGCTTAATCTGTGCTTATTGACGGATTGACTATAGCGAGAAATACCCGCTCAATTATATCTTATCCAATTCAGTTGTATTGCGTAAAAGACTAAGGAAGGCCGGGTGCTGTGGCTCACGCCTGTAATCCTAGCACTATGGGAGGCTGAGGTGGGTGGATCACTTGAGATCAGGAGTTTGAGATCAGCCTGACCAACATGGTGAAACCCTGTCTCTACCAAAAATACAAAAATTAGCTGGGCGTCATGGCAGGCACCTATAATCCCAGCTACTCAAGGGGCCGAGACAGGAGAATTGCTTGAACCCAGGAAGAGGAGGTTGCAGTGAGCCAAGATCACGCCATTGCACTCCAGCCTGGGCAACAAGAGTGAAACTCCATCTCAAAAAAAAAAAAAAAAAAAGGACTAAGAAAAACGTCTCTATAATAGTCAGACTTTTGTTTGACAAATGGGGTTGTAAAGAAATATAAATCTTTAAGGCTACTCCTAAGGTCTAAGAGCTTTCTCACCAAAGTGATGCCATATAGACTGAGTCAAATCTACTGGGGATAAATTATAAGCATGAATTCAGGGTTGAGAAGAGAAAACGCGGGTGTCATGGATGGCAAAGCTGGAATGAAGGCTTCTGCAATGCCTTTACTCCATTTCTTATTACTAAAATCATGATAAATCAAAAAATAATAATAAAAAATAAAAAACTCGACAAGGGAACTTGGGGAATGAATCACATTTGTCATAACCTTACAGTTCTACGTCAGTATGCTTGAGCACTGGGACTGAACTAATGGACCTGAGTTACAATGTTCTACTGTGTTCTGGTGGGCTTTGGTATGGAGTCATTGTGGTCAAAGCTAAGCTTATTTAACTTTTGTCATTGGGATGAGATCTTGAGACCAACTTCTGTCAACAACTGAGCAATGTTCCTCAGTGACATACTTAAATATTCAACAAAGGTGACCCATATTTTCATCTCAGGAATTCAGGTTATCTTCATGGATCACAGAAAACTGAGCTGGAAAGGAGAGCTTTATTATTGTGCTTCCAGATTTGTTCCACGATGATTCAACTGATTCTGTAAAGACCTATCTGCAGTATTAGTCACTTATTCAATAAACATTCACTGAACTACTTTAGGCCAGAAACTATGCTAAAGTGGAAGAAACTATTATAAACATTGAACATGAGCTTTTTTGTAGCTAATCAACCACAGAAGGTGAAGATGTGTAAATAAATCATCATAATACATGAAGTCATAAAGGAGGAATCTGAAAGTATTATATTATTGCCTCATACACAGCAATCAACTGTTTGGGGGCTTGGGGAGGGTGCTGAGTAAGGCAATGGGTACTGAGCAAGGCAATGGGAAGGGGGCTAGTGGGTTGGGAATGTGGTGTCTTGAGACACACACTGAGATGTACTTTCAAATGAAGTCTGGAACTGCAGATATATTTAGCGAGTTGAGACTGGCAAGGGCAGGACGTCATAGAGAAAATACATGGAATAAAATGAGAAAAAGAGAAGTGGGGAAAGTGATAGGGCAGAAAACTCTAAGAAATTTCTGACATGCAAGGAAAAGAAATTTCTGACACAGAGAAAATACATGGAATAAAATGAGAAAAAGAGAAGTGGGGAAAGTGATAGGGCAGAAAACTCTAAGAAATTTCTGACATACATGGAATAAAATGAGAAAAAGAGAAGTGGGGAAAGTGATAGGGCAGAAAACTCTAAGAAATTTCTGACATGCAAGGAAAAGATGAAACAAAAAGAGGTAGTGAAAAAGCCTGGGGATGAGTGTGGGCAAGACAGGTGTTGGGCAAAAAGAGAACCAGAGAGACAATAACTCACAGGGATGAGGAAAGAGCGGGTTTCAAGAAGGAATGAATGGTTAACACTTGTTAATTTTCCAAGGTCAAATATGTAAGAGCAGAAAGCTGTCCTTTAAGTTCTGAGAACTAAGAGGAGTGGAGTGACCTAAAAAGCGAGTGGTGGGAGCAAAAGTAAGCTGCAGGGACCCAGGAGGAGCAACAGGAGGTGAGGAAGCAGAGATATCAACTCCTCCAAGCTGTTCTACCATAAACAGAAAGAAAGATACGGGATTGCAAGAGTGATGGGCAGATAAGATGCAGAGAGTGGGTTCTTTTTTTCTTCCTTTTGTTTTGGAACAGAGGTGGAGGTGGCAGCCTTCCTTTTTCTCATCAAAAGAATTGTTAAACAGAGGTTCCCAGAAAGTCTGTGCACAGTGGAGATGCCGAATACCATAAAGTACTGAAAGAAGAAGCATCAGATAGTAGAGAGAACAAAGTTGGAACGACCTGGCTTCAAATCCTGAGTGGCTCCTTTGCTAGCCGTGTGACTGAGCACATTACTCAGCCTTTGCAAGAGTCAGTTTCCCTGTGGATATCCTCAGAACAAAATATTCCTCCCAAGTTTATGGGAAGATTAAATAAATTAAGGTACATACAGTGCCTATGGTACCAGCCAATTAGAGATGTTTCTCTCCCTTTCCTTTCAACCTAAGCGAAAATCTTAAAATATTTAATAGAAGCATGTATTTAGTTACCTTGAAATAAATACGTATATGGCAACTGAAATTTACACAGGTACCAAACCAATAAATGTATTCTAAACCAATAATTTTAGATTTGAAATGTAATACTGAAAACCATAAGTGTTATATTCAGAAAACTACATGAAACAATAGAAACATATATAACAGGTAACTGTAAATTTGACGAACAAATAATGCAACCATAACTTCTCCATGACATATTAGTACACAGACAAATCATCTTGTGAAAGATGATGTGTTAATACTTATCTTGATCAAAGAAGCATATTAGGCTCTACTGAAACCGAGAGGAAATATTCCTTGCTGTTATATTCTGGTCTCTGGTTGGCAGATTATTAGTGTTCAAGGAGAAGGGTTGTAGAGGTGGTCCCACGTGGACTACGGTTTTATTGCACGATCTGTGAGGTGAGTTCCAAGCCTAAGGCTCTATGACATGGCAGACCTTGAGGTCTGAATTTGGACCTCACTCGACCTCCCTGACCATAAAAGAAAAGCCGATGACAGACATCTCATGGATAACTGAGAATGTGCTCTTTGTCAGCAAAAAAATCACCTGTTGAAATGACTAGTCAGACACCCTGTCAGGATACAGTCAAGACAAGAGGGCCTCAGTCACAATGCATGTGAATGGTGTCTGCAGTAAGCACAGTTCTCATCAATCAAATAAATGGATGTTCCTATTTATAAAGCTGTTCAGTATTATTCCAGCCTGTTAAGTCTTCCAGTATCAAATCAATCATGTCATTCCTGAATCCAGATATTCAACCCTACCTATATGTTAAGAAAATAATCTTCCACAGTGGCATTTGAGGGGTTCCTCCACCAGACTGCTACCTGAAAAATTATCCCTGAATAGCACCCTACTGGATCATCCAATGAAAACGCTGTTTCTGGATGCCTAAGTGTTGAAATTGATACATGCCTTTACATAGAACCTTCATCCCTGTCCTGTGAACACATACAGAAGGATTAGTTTGTCAGACTATCTGATACTTCAAAAGGCTGAAAAGAAAGGATAAGGCACAGTAAAGTTAGGTGAGAGAATGGAGTGGGAAAGTAAGTGAAGTGTGTGTGTGTGTGTGTGTGTGTGTGTGTGTGTGTGTTGAGGAAAGAGCTGAAAAAGAAAACACAGAAAGAACAGAGCAGAATAATTTATAAGCTCTTGGGAGCAATGGTAAGGAAGGAAAAGCTTTGAATTCAGGTCAGATTGCAATTAGCCAAGCTATCTTAGTAAGTAGGGTAGAGAGAATCTGATATCCCATACATTATTTTTATTTGACACTGAAAATATTTATTATATTTTATAGTGGATACACCTTCTGAATTATGTTATAGGTTAACACTGAAGATATGTTTCATCTACTAAACATATAACTGCTGGATAGTTGGGGGAAAATGGCTAGAAGTTTGCTAGGTAGCAGTAGAAAATCTAGCTGGGATTCAAAATATCTCAGGAATAACACATGATACAAATATTGCCTACTTAATCGTGAAATAGACTGCATTTGTATGGCTTGTATTTGTGTACAGGATGACTGTACTTATTTTGGTAAATAGATACTCGTACATTGTGTACACATGTGCTTTTGAGCCCTCTCTTTTCATAGTCTAGAAGTACCATAAAGAAAGGGACCATGTCTAGTGTTTTCTTTATACCTCCTTTAACTATCAGTAGTAATATACTGTGGATGCCCCAAAATGTTAACTTACCTATTTATGAGTTGCTTACATTTATATTTTTCTTAGAGACATCAGTTTTTTTCTCAATGTATAAATAACTAGGTAAGGAATGGGATGGGACATTAATTTTCTCGAGAAATATTGCATGAAAAACTAGAAATACACAGGAAAAAACAAAAAAGATGGTCTCTGCCCTTCAGGTACTTATTGCCTGAGAAAGGAAACAAAGATAGAATCAGATATGGGCAACAACATGTTAGAGGTGCGATGATGGAAGTCAGTACAAGTACCACATGGGCATGGGAAACGTTCCACCTGTAACAAATATATGCCTCTTCTTGCCAGTTACAGGCATCATCTGTATAGGATTCAGAAAGAAAAAAATATTTGTCTTAAGCTGAATGAAAACAATTCTGCAATTTTTATAGGAAATTCACATGACATTAAAAACAGGAAGACAAAAACAACGCATACAGGGTCTGCAAGATTTAGAAATACAGATAGGTAGAGATGAAAGGGATCAACTAAAAGGATTCATGTTTATATAACCAGTCCCAGTCCCCATTTTTCTATTATTAAATAATAGATGATTGCATGTGGTATCTAAGTCAGAATAAACTTTAATTTACAGCTATACCATCTGTACTACTTACTATTTCTATTACGGCAACTTCTTTGAAGAAGGCATTTGATTTTAAAAGGAATGCCATATCTATTTTTAGAATTTTTTTTTTCTACAAAAAAAGGCCATAGACTGGAAGAAAGCACAGAGGCACAGGTGGCTAAATACAATTTTTCAATGAATAGAAATGAGCTAAAAGTCTCTAACATTTCCTTAAAATGTCTTATGATGTCAGAACAAATTGAACGAATAAGTTTATGTATTGCTCATGCATGCACATAATTTATTTGTGGCATAATGACTCAGATGCAGTGTTTGGCTAGTAAATTCCACTTCTGCATTTCTGTTCACTGCCTGTAAATATTATTGTTCTGCCATCCTGACTTAATTATTCCTAGATAAAAAGAGATACACATTTGGAAGAAGGCAAAAACGAAAGATTTTTACAATGTGAAATAAAGGATCTTGATATTAGGCGCATCTTATAGATAGCTGGCCGCATATGGGGAAAATTATATGCTGAAGCAAGAGTTAAAATAAAGGGGTTTATTAATTTTACTACTTTATGTTCTTGTGAAGAGCAGAATGGTAAGGAATACTGCCAGTGGTTATTTGTAAAACTGGATCAGAAATCAGACCAATAGAAAAAATACATGCTTCATACTTACCAGTGCCATGTGACGATTTTATGGTGTCCACAAAACAGTCCAATTGATAGACTCTCTCTTCTGTTCAAATGGCCAGGCCAATTCAAGTGAGAACCAGAATTTGTTTTAGATCTGAGTTTCCAGGACTGTCTCTGGTTCTTCCATAGGTTTTTCTAGAGGGGACTGACCAAGTGGATCTACTCTCATCTGAAGACCATACTAGCCACCCACACTTACTTCAAGTGGTGCTGAATCCTCAAGGAAATTCCCTGACCTCTCAATCCTCACCATCCACAGAGCTAAATCAGACTTTCTTTGTGGTAAAGAACACAAGGTCTAGAATTAGCCTCTCCAGATTACAATTCTGGCTCCGGGCCGGGTGCAGTGGGTCATGCCTGTAATCCCAGCACTTTGGGAGGCTGAGGCAGGCGGGTCACATGGTCAGGAGTTTGAGACCAGCCCAGCCAATATGGTGAAACCCCGTCTCTACTAAAAGATACAAAAATTAGACAGGTATGGTGGCGCACACCTGTAGTCCCAACTATTCAGGAGGCTGAGGCAGGAGAATTGCTTGAACCCGGGAGGCAGAGGTTGCAGTGAGCCAAGATCATGCCACTGCACTCCAGCCTTTTCGAGACTCTGTCTCAAAAAAAAAAAAATAAATAAATTCTGGCTCTGACCATACCTGGTTTTTGGAAAGTTATTTAAGTTCTCTGTGCACAAGTTGACTCACCTACAATATGAAAATTATACTAATACCTGCATCTTAGGGTTTTCAATGAAGATCAGATTAAATAGTGCATGTAGAAATGCTTAGCAATATATGTATAAATATTTGTTTAATGTATATTTATGTGTCTAAATAAATATAAATATATACATACATATCTGCATTTGTATCTTTCACCTTCTTTGCACATAGGCATTCACACGACTTTGTTCTTACCTTGCAAATGTTATATACAAAATATATTCTAACATTTTCCCCATCCTTCTTCTCCATTCTATGCTGCCCTTTGCCAAGTGAACACAACTAGCCTAACCAGAAAGAGAGAAAAAAACAAACCTCACATCCCAGCAACTGTCAATTTTTTGCCCATATTCATTCTTCTCACATTTCTTCCACTCTTGCAATAGCAAAGAGAAAATTAAAAACAGGTTGGGCAACTGATAATATTCTTTTTGCATCACCAATTAGAATTCTGAGACTCTAAGTCATAAGGTAGGAACAGCTTCAGATGTGTTTTGAAAAACAGAAACAAACCCACATAGCACTCTGCCTGGGGAGAAAATCATTTCTCCCATGAATACTGATTCAGTTCAAAGGCACACCTAACTGTAATCCATAATAGAATAAGATGAAAAGTTTATTCGAAGAGAATCTAAACACAGAATTGAGAGGGGGAAGGAAAATAGTCACACATAGAAAATTTATTCTGGGCCAGGTGTGGTAGCTCATGCCTGTAATCCCAGAACTTTGGGAGGCCAAGGCAAGAGGATCGCTTGAGCTGAGGAGTTCGAGAGCAGTCTGGGCAACAAAGTGAGAATCTATCTCTACAAAAAATAAAAGTAAATCAATTAGGCAGGCGTGGTGGTGTGCCTATAGTGTCAGCTACTTGGGAGGCTGAGATGAGAGGATCACTTGAGCCTGGGAGATGGAGGCTGCAGTGAGCCATGATCATGCCACTACATTCCAACCTGAGTAACAGAGACTTTGTCTCAAAATAAATAATAAATAAAAATAAAAATAAAAATAAAATTTACTCTTATGTGTATGCTGATACCTTCCTAGGAAAGAATCACTACCTCTCTATCAGAGTTTAAATGAAAAGAACCATTACTAGCTGAATGGGAAAGGCAAAAATGGAGCTACATCTTAGGCCTCCTAAATTTGCATTCAGTTCACTCAATCTTCACTGTAGCCACTTCTGGATCATCAAAGTCCACAGTACGGCTGAAGACCCTTAGCAAGGCAGGGCCTGTAATGTGATGCGGTAAGTGGGGATAGGCCTGGTGGCCCTTTTGTTTGCTTATTGGCCTAGCCTCAAAAATAAGACAAGGATTGGATGTCTTGGGGCTAATGGCTGGTTCTAAAGGCAAAACAGCCCTTCCAGGACAGTTGGGAAATAACAGTCCTTCCTCCCCTTAACACTGTATAGTGTATCAGGAAGCCACTCACCCAGGTGAAAGAGGGTCTAGGGCATTCCAGGAATGGAGAGGCCAGCGGATCTGTGAGAGACATTTTTTAATGCTACACACCCAGTGTCACTCAAATTGTCTCCCACCCTAGCCCCAGGGAGTCATGCTCCCTCAGTTCCTCCTTACAGTTGCTGGGTAAAGGAGGCTGCATGGATTCTGAAAAGCAAGTCAAGAGGAAGAGCTGCTGACCTAAAAGTACTGTAGAAAACTGAGAGCAAAGGCTAAATGAAAGGATGGCAGCATTTAACACAGATAGAAAAGGATACTTCCTGCCTTTTTCCTGGCTCAAACTATGACTTCGACATGAAGTTTTGGACTGAGTGAGTCTGCCCGGAAGCACGCCATCAGAGGACACGTCAAGAAGCCAGTGAAAGAGAAGTGATGGCCCAGCGCGGGAGAAAGCAGTCACATATTCACATGTACTTTTCTCCTCTTTACTGAGGCGACAGTAAACCAGTGGCACCAGGAGCTGGGATTTGAGGGGCTGGAACTAGGTTGTGACCGGCCTGAAGAAGCAAAAGTCAGGAAAGCTTAGAAGGTCAAGTCCAAGCCACTGTCCCTTCAAGAGGGTGAGAATCCAGCTCAGGGAAGATAAATACCAGCAAGGGGTAGAGGCACTCCTGGAGCCACAGCTCAAAGATGGAGGGAGAGGGCAAAACAAGGCAGGACCAAACAAGAATGAGGCAGGGTGACAGCTAGAAAATAGCCCACCTCCCTTTCCAAGCAAACAAACCACACAAGGCTTCTATGCCCAGTGAAACTTCAAGATGAAGGGAAGGGACAGGAGGTGGGGATGTGGGAGAGGGGTAAGGACCTAGGATCAGCCACAGGGTATAAAGCCAACAGATACCCAGGAATCCATGACAATTCAAATCAAACATCACATTCAAAGGTTGCATTGAGATGATGTATGAGGTTTGCTTCGAAATAATGGAAGGAGAACCCACAGTGTATATATTAAACAAAACTAGACCTTTAACTTCAAACACTGGTATAAAAAGCTATTTTTTAGCCAGGCATGGTGGCAGGCGCCTGTAATCCCAGCTACATGGGAGGCTGAGGCAGGAGAATTGCTTGAACATGGGAGGCGGAGGTTGCAGTAAGCCAAGATCGTGCCATTGCACTCCAGCCTGGGTGACAAGAGCAAGACTGTCTCAAAAAAAAAAAAAAAAAAAAAGCTATTTTTTTAGAAAAAATTCAGAACACTTCCTTCTAAATGGAGATGACAATGGCTAGAAATTGAAAATGATATTCATGAAACATACCAGTTAGCACGGTTAGTGAAGGAGGACACTTCTCATTCTGTAGCTCAAAATTTTCTCTCAATTTATATCTAAATAGAAGTAAGGGAATATTCAAGAAAGAGCGATGTGGTAGCAGAGCATCCTTTATGCAGTGTTTGAGAGCAAAATCAAATGATGTTTCTTTTCCAACATTAACATGTTTAAATAAAGGATAATTCTATCCTTAGACCCTAGGATCTCCTCTTTATAGCTTTTATTAGCAATATTTTATTTATATTATCTTACAACAGCCCTGGGGGATAAGCAGAGCAATACTACTATGCTCATTGTATTGAAGAAAATAAGGCCACATGAGATTGGAAGAACCTGGCCAAAATCCAATGGCCATAGTGAGTAAAAGAAAGTGAAACTCAGAACTTCAAACCCAGGTCTTCTGACTCCAAACCCAGGCCCTTTTCACTATCCTGGGCAACTTAGTCCCATCTCCTGGGTTTCCTCCAGTTGCCAGCTTGGTGTTTCACACTGCTAATCTGCCTGTTAGTCTTTGCAACCTTGACTTAACAAATGATTGAAATGTAGTCTTGTGGTATTCTGGTATTCCAGAATATGATGCTATTTTTAAAGAACCAAGTATTCTTTTGGTATTTTTCTTGATGTAGTGCCATTATTTTGGTATTTAAAAATCTAAACTCTGAATTATGTGCATTATGATATATATTCAGAGAGTTATATACCACATTTAAATTTCATATCAAATTAAGCTGCTTTTAAATAGAAAGCATTCTGACTACACCACTTCCCTTTTAAAACTTGTTCAAAATGTTATCTGGCATTAATTCCAGTTTCCTAAATGACTAGTAAGACTGAGTGTGTTAGTCCATTTTCTTTGTTATAAAGGAATACCTGAGACTAGGTGATTTATAAAGAAGAGAGGTTTATTTTGGCTCACAGTTTTGAAGACTATATAGGAAGAAGGGTGCCAGCATCTGCTTCTAGTGGGCCTCCGGAAGCTTCCAATCATGGTGGAAGGTGAAGGGAGAGCAGGCATATTAAATGCTGAGAGAGCAAGCGAGGGAGGGAGGTTCTGGGCTCTTTTAAACAATCAGGTCTCAGGTGAACTACCAGAGCAAGAACCCACTCATTACCATGGGGATGCCACCAAGCCACTCATGAAGGATCTGCCTCCGTGACCCAAACACTGAAGTCCCACCTCCAACACTGGGGATCACATTTCAACATAAGATTCAGAAGGGACAGCCAAACCATATCACTGAGCATTTGTGTTTTTTTTTTTTTTCTTTTGAGATGGAGTCTTGCTCTGTCATCCAGGTTGGAGTGCAGTGATGCGATCTCGGCTCACTGAAAACTCCGCCTCTGGATTCAAGTGATTCTCCTGCCTCAGCCTCCTGAGTAGCTGGGGTTACAGGCACCCACCGCTGCGCCTGGCTAAATTTAGTATTTTCAGTAGAGACGGGGTTTCACCACGGTGGCTAGGGTGGTTTTGAACTCCTGACCTCAGGTGATCTGCCCATCTCGGCCTCCCAAAGTGCTGGGATTACAAGCGTGAGCCACTGCACCTGGCCTCTTTTTTTATTTATAGTATTTTTATTTTCCCCAGAGTCAGTTTTAGTCTAATCAATTTCCAGAAATCTCAAATGCAATTTGACTGTTGTGGGGGTAGTGGGTGAGGAAAAGGCCTTAAGGAAAATGTAGAAGGACAGAAGTATTAGGGAGAAGAGGGGAAGAAAAGACGAAGAAATTTCCAGATTACTGGTTCTTCTCTTATTTCCTGAGAGCACCAAATTCATTTTCTTAAAGATAGACTGTTCTCTCCTAAGATAATTTATTTTAACTTATTCACCAATTTATCCTTTTTAGAGAGATTTAGGCTGGCAGGGCAGAAGAACAACAGTCCTTGGTCTGGCTGTCTCTCAGGTTCATTATTTTCTCAGAACAAAGTGTGGAAAATGATGGCACCATGCTGATGGTATCTTTTCATAAAATACTGCTAGTCATGTCAGCATTAGTGCCAGTATTTCAGGGTTATGAAAATAAATGTGACCAGTTTTGTCATCTTGTTCCAGTGTTGCAGCTACGAAACCTGACAGCTTGAAGTTCCAAACCAAGTACTGTGGCTTCTCTCCAGGCCTCTTGTGTCAAACCAGTCACCAAAGCTGTCAAAGCCAAACACGCATGGCCCTTACCAGAGCTCCCAATCCAACTGCCACAGGGTGAATCCTGCTCTACTGTGACATGTTCTTGCTCTGGCTGGGGGAAATTCAAATTCTGGCATTACTGTCCTCATTCTCAATTCTGGTTACTTTCCTAAGTTAAAGGGAGTTAAGGCTGGGCGCTGTGGTTCACACCTGTAATCCCAGCACTTCGGGAGGCCGAGGCAGGTTGATCCCCTGAGGTAAGGAGTTCGAGACCAGCCTGGCCTACATGATGAAACCCTAACTCTACTAAAATACAAAATTAGCCAGGCATGGTGGTGGGTGCCTGTAATCCCAGCTACTTGGGAGGCTGAGGCAGGAGAATCGCTTGAACCTGGGAGGTGGAAGTTGCAGTGAGCCAAGACCTCGCCCCGCACTCTGGCCTGGATAACAAGAGCAGAACTCATCTCCAAAAAAAAAAAATTAATAAATAAAGGGAGTTAAATATAGTGCAATAAATTTTTGCCAGAACAACCCTAATTTTCATCAGTAAGGGAGTGGTTAATTAAATTATGGTACATAATGCAGACACTGTAAGTCATTAAAAGAGTGAGTTCCATACCTGGTTGATCCTGAAATAAAAAAGAAATAAAGAAAAAAAAAGAGTGAGTTCCATTTACATGTACTGACATCAAAAGTCAAGATGGGTTGTTAAAGTGAAAAGGACAAGTCTATTGTAAATGGGGTAGTTTTCTTGATTTCTTTCTTAGATATTAGTGTATAGAAATGTCACTGATTTTGTATGTAAATTTTATATCCTGCAACTTGGTTGAATTTGTATATTAGTTTTAACTCATTTTTTTAGTGGAATCTTTGGAGCTTTCTATATATAAGACCATGTTATCTGCAAACAAGGATAATTTATGTAACTAAAACTCTATCACTGGTATCTGTCTGTCTTCTGTCTGGTTGGTTATCTCTATTTCTACTTCAAAATGAATAAAAAGAGGGCAGGAGAATTTATTGGACTGACTAACAGAAAAGCTTAAATGCACATAAAATGAATTTAGCACATAAATAGACATATTTAGCATCCAATTTTTTAGAAATGTAAAAATAAATTTGGAAGCAAAACATGAATGGAATGTAAAACACTTTTGGATGGGGGGAGCAGGCAGCCTGCCAATGCAATACCAGTGTAAAGCAAGCCAGCTGAGTTAGGAGGGGCCTCCAACAGAGTGAGGCAAACTGCCTGGCCCATTAGAAGGTGACTCTTCCCAACAGTGATGACATGCTCAGCGTTCTCCACCTTGACAATAGCAGAAGGTTTGTCATCTTTTGCTGACAGTCAGTTCATTACTGAGTCATATTCTATTAAATCCAGTGGTGCTCTCATACCTTTTTTTCCCTTCCTTTTATTAAGAGACAGTGAGAGTTCTTTCATCTCCGGCTGAGGAGAAATCAGAAGCAGGCAAGCGTGATCACTGTCCATTAGCAGCAGCATTTGCTGGCAGCAAGAGGGGGAAGGGGTCCTCTGTTCTCCTGAGCTGCTGCAGCCGTGGGCTTAAAGGACGTGCCCACATAACTTGATTGATCATCTCAGTCACAATTTTAAGATTTTAGCCTGGAAGTTCAATGTAGGTGCCATCATATGAAAGATTTAACAGATGTTAATATCCATAACGTTCATGTTCATTATATGTATTTGACTCTTAACTAGGTTTTCTAATTTTCCTTTTTAACGTATTCTAGATATTAATCTCTTGGTTTTTTTTAACTTTTAAGTTTAGGGGTAGAAGTGCAAGTTTGTTACATAGGTAAACTTGTGTCATGGAGGTTTGTTGTACAGATTATTTTATCACCCAGGTAATTTTCTTAATAACTGCCAAGAGCTCATTATTCTTTTTTTCTGATAATCTCCCTCTCTCTCTCTCTCTCTCTCTCTCTCCCCTCTTTTCCTCACCCCCAACCCTTACTATTTTAATATATACCCAACCTTTACTCTGTATTCCAGATGTTTATTCTGTAAATAATGGTTCTATGTACAACAAAGATAAGTTTTGCAACTTTACTCTGTAAATAATGGTTCTATGTACAACAAAGATAAGTTTTGCAACTTTACTCTTAGTATATTCTTACTTCCTAAAAATGAAGACAGAAAAAGTTTTAAATGCTATTATTATCACATGATGTGACTGTAATACCTGGAAATCCCAAGAGAAGTAACTCAAAAGCATTATAAACAAGAAAAAAAAATCAGTAAACTGGCTAGGTAAAAAGTTAGTGTAAAATAAAGTAGTAGCTTTCCAATATACAAACAACAATCAAATGATAAATATAATTTAACAAAAGATGTACATAACAGTGATTAAAATATTCTTAGGAATATATTTAACAATAAACATGCAAGATCTGTATTAAATAATTTTAATCCTGTATAAAATTTTAAAATCTTCATAATTTTGTTTTTTTAATTTAAAAAGGTAAAGTGAGAGTCTGGGTACGGTGGCTCATGCCTATAATCCCAGCACTTTGGGAGGCTGAGTCAAGGGGATCACCTGAGGTCAGGTGTTCAAGACCAGCCTGGTCGACATGGTGAAACCCCATCTCTACTAAAAATACAAAAATTAGCCCGGCATGGTGGCACAGGACTGTAGTCCCAGCTACTCAGAGGCTAAGGCAAGAGAATCACTTGAACCCGGGAGGCAGAGGTTACAGTGAGCTGAGATCGTGTCACTGCACTTCAGACATCAGAGCAAGACTCCGTCTCGAAATAAAATAAAAATGTAAACAGAGATAAACAAGACTTAAAAAGAACTTAATTGGGTTTTGATGCAGGAGTCTTAGTATTATTATATAATGACAAACATCCTCCCTAAACTAATATATACATTTTAAGTGATCACTAAAAATAAGAACAAACCTTTTAATGTAAGCTGTTTTAAAGTTCATAGGAGAATAATAATAATATTTATGATTTTCAGAAAAAAATATTCTAAAAAAGGGGGTACTAGTCCTCTCGAAAGTTAAACATATTATAAAGCAATAGTAGCCAAAATGTCTAGTGTATCAATAGATATAAAGACCAATCAACAGGCTGGACACAGTGGCTCACACCTGTAATCCCAGCACTTTGGGAGGCCTATGCAGGCAGATCACCTGAGGCCAGGAGTTCAAGACCAGCCTGGCCAACTAAAAATACAAAAAAAATTAGCTGGGCGTGGTGTTGCGTGTCTGTAATCCCAGCTATTGGGAAGTGCTGAGGCAGGAGGATCACTTGAGCCCCGCAGGCTGAGGCTGCAATGGGCCAAGATCGTGCAACTGCACTCCAGCCTGGGCAACAGAGTGAGACTCCATCGCCAAAAAAAAAAACAACCAATTAACAAAAGAGTCTAGACAGACGTACATGCATATAGGAAGGCAGATTATCAGAAATGGCCCCTTCAAATCAATGGGAAAGAAGAACTGTCAAGACCTAAATTGGATATTATTGAGGAACCATCTGGAGAAGGAAAATAATTCTAGATATCAACCTCATACATATCAAGAAATTCATCATTTCTTACATCAAAATGAATTTTAGCTGCATCAAAGATTTAAAAGTAAAATAAAAATTGGCTACTTAAAATGTTTAAATTCCTGCTAATAAACTCAGGAAAATAATTTTTATACCACATAAAACAGACAATGGGCTAATTTCTATGTTACATAAGGATCTACAAATACTTTTTGTAAGTTTTACAATCAAAATAGGTAAACAGGAAAATGGGCAAAAGCACGATAATCCATTCACAGAAAATACAAATAGTTTTAAAACAGAAAGATGTCAAACTTTTACCCACAATAGGAGAAATGCAAATTAAAACCACAAGATTCTTTTTTTTTCTCCTATCAGATTGGAAAAGAACAAAATATTTGATTAAAAGCAATCTTGGGGAGAATGTGGTGGGAAAGGCATTCCCCTTGGGAATACAGACTGGTACTATCCCAGGGAAGGGCCATTTTGGCAGTATCTATACACATTAAAATGCTCATACCAGGCCAGGCGTGGTGGCTCATGCCTGTAATCCCAGCACTTTGGGAGGCCGAGGCGGGCAGATTACCTGAGGTCAGGAGTTTGAGACCAGCCTGGCCAAGATGGTGAAACCCCGTCTCTACTGAAAATACAAAAATTAGCTGGGCATAGTTGTGGGCGCCTGTAATCCCAGCTACTCAGGAGGCTGAGGCAGGAGAATCGGTTGGAGGCAGAGGTTGCAGTGAGCCGAGATCATGTCATTGCACTCCAGCCTGGGCAACAAGAGCAAAACTCCATCACACACACACACACCCCTCTCTTTCCCATCTTACAAGACAGCAGATGAAACAATTGAGAAGCCAGACACACACACACACACACACACACACACACACACACAAACTCTCTTTCCCATCTTACAAGACAGCAGGTGAAACAATTGAGAAGCCAGATACCAAAGAGAAGAAACCCAAAGCCAAGAAGGCTGATGCTGGTGGTGAAAAAGGGTCACCTCAAGACTAAAAAGCCCAAGAAGGGGAAGCCCCATTGCAGTGCAATCCTGTCCTTGTCAGAGGAATTGGCAGGTATTCCTGACCTGCCGTGTATTCCAGAAAGGCCACGTATAAGAGGAAGTACTCAGCCGCTAAATCCAAGGTTGAAAAGAAAAAGAAGGAGAAGGTTTTTGCAACTGTTACAAAACCAGTTGGTGGTGACAAGAACGGTGGTACCCGGGTGGTTAAACTTCGCAAAATGCCTAGATATTATCCTACTGAAGATGTGCCTGGAAAGCTGCTGAGCCATGGCAACAAACCCTTCAGTCAGCACGTGAGAAAACTGCGAGCCAGCATTACCCCGGGGACCATTCTGATCCTCCTCACTGGAGGCCACAGGGGCAAGAGGGTGGTTTTCCTGAAGCAGCTGGCTAGTGGCTTATTACTTGTGACTGGACCTCTGGCCCTCAATCGAGTTCCTCTATGAAGAAAATACCAGAAATTTGTCATTGCGACTTCAACCAAAATTGATATCAGCAATGTAAAAATCCCAGAACATCTTAGTGATGCTTACTTCAAGAAGAAGCTGTGGAAGTTCAGACCAGGAAGGTGAGATCTTCAACACAGAAAAAGAGAAATACAAGATTACAGAGCAGTGCAAGATTGATCAGAAAGCTGTGGACTCACACATTTTACGAAAAACCAAAGCTATTCCTCAGCATCAGGTCTACCTGCCATCTGTGTTTGCCCGGACAAATGGAATTTATCCTCACAAATTGGCATTCTAAATGCCTTAAGAACCTAATTAAATAGCTGACTACAAAAAAACAAACAAAAACAGGCAAACAAACAAAAAAACACTCATACCTTTGACCCATCAATTTCTCTTCTAGGTTTCCATTCCTAAATCATATTTCCACAAAGAAAATAGAAGTACACAGAAAATCACTGGATTATTGTTTTTTATAGCCAAGGGCTGAAAATAATCTAAATGTCTTTCAGTAGGAGACTAGACAAATCAACGATGATACATTCATCTGGTGGAATACTGTGTAACTTAGAATAAAGCATACCTCCTTCTGACCTAACTGACCTGAGATGAAGAGCAAACCATATTATGTTAAGTGGTTATTGGTGATGGTGTGGCATTTTAAGGCAAGATGTGGAACAATTTGTATGGCATACTAGCATTTCTGTAAAAAAAAAAAAAAATTCAGACATACCGATGGTAAGAAAGTGGCAATGACAATTAACTGTGGATGGTGACACTGGTAGATGAGGGAATGGGAATGGGTTTAGGAGAGCAGAGTGCTTTCCAATGAAACCCCTTAGCTGTGTGTGCATTTTCTATCTTGTGCACATACTTCTTATAAATGAAAATAAATTTAATTCATTAAAAGTTAACGAAACTTTGTGAAATAACATATGGTATTTTTCAGTCCATCCTTGTAAATGTGCCCTTCCTACTGTATGTACTCAGTTTTTATAGGTATTAAATCAAAAGCCAGCAGAAAACATATTCATTTGGAAGTTCTTTATAATATAACTTGGCATGTCTAAGATGCGTTCCCATTGATTTTTAAAAATTTTACCTTGTCTTCAATGCAAACGTAAATCTTTTATGCATTTATTTCGATTGATGTAAAAATAACTTCTTTGTATAGCATAGGCTTTCATATATGATATGACGTAGCTGCCCTACTTATGAAAGGGCACCCAGAAGCCAAGATCCCCGCTGGCAGATGCACCTTTGTAATAATAATAATAGTACCTTGCTTTTTATAGTGTTTTGCATGTGGGCTGTCATTTAATCTTGATCATTTTTTTCCAGCTCTAAATTATAAGCACCTCTGTCTATATGTAAAGAACCGTTTTTCGCAATTCTTTATGTTTTCATAGATAAGAGAATTGCAGTCTTGGTATTGGCCCACCCTTCCTCCTTCCCTCCTTCCTTCTTTCCCTCCTCTTCATCCCTCCCTCTGTAGATATGTCTGCTTTTGAGTGATAAACATGATTTTAAGAATAAGCCTCAGAGAAGAACCACCTTTCAATGTCTGCTTGTAAGCCAGCGTGGTTATTTCCTACAGATCACCTCACTGGAATTAAAACAATGGATTTTTTTCAGTTTGGGAATTGTTTTTCACCCAGTTATCTGTGCAGGAACCCTACAGAATGGGAGGCAGGTTAGCCCCATCTCCTGGTTTTTCAGAGCAAAGAGGAAAAGGGAGAAAAAGCCACTATTGTCTGCTGTTTCTTGTCACCTACTTTTTGTTTGTTTGTTTGTTTTTTTATGGAGTCTCGCTCTGTCACCCAGGCTGGAGTGCAGTGGCACAATCTCGGCTCACTGCAACCTCCACTTCCCAGGTTCAAGTGATTCTCCTGCCTCAGCCTCCCGAGTAGCTGGGACTACAGGCGCCCGCCACCACGCCCTGCTAATTGTTTGTATTTTTAGTGGAGACAGGGTTTCACCATGTTGGCCAGGATGGTCTCGATCTCTTAACCTTGTGATCCATCTGCCTTGGCCACCCAAAGTGTTGGGATTACAGGTGTGAGCCACCGCGCCCAGCCTCTTGTCACCTACTTCTTATTTAATGACACTAAATGTGTATTTTGAGTAGAAGCTGGACCTTTTTTATTTCTATTTTAGTTTTCTCTTTCTTCTAAGTTAAATTTTTAAAACATTTTAAACTGTTTTATTTGGATTTTCTGCTTTCATTTTTTTTCCACTAAAAACAGCTTTGTTGCTTTGAATCCTCTTTATATAACTTATTGTCTTTGAAAATAGCCTTTTCTTTTTGTCCAGATTCTTCTTTCTATAGCATTTCTAGACATCTAATTTAAATAGAAATTAGTTATTTTCTGTAAGGCTTTTTTTCAGCCAGTTTCTTCCCATTCAGAGAGGAAAAAAATAGGAGATTTAGGAAAGCATGCCAGTTTCTTTCAAGCAAGTGTTGGCCTCTAGTGGATCAAAAGTGCTACACACTTTCTGTCTACTTTGGCATTCCGTGAAGAACTCTATATTTTGGGGAAACAATAAAACAGATTGCTAGTACTGAAGAAAAAAAGGAAAATACACTTCCTTTTGACAAATAGCATAAATTAATTGATAAAAATGACAAAATAGCATTAACAGAATTTGCTACCTGATAAATTTAAAACTTAGAAGTGTAAAAATACATCATAAATAAAATTCTAAGTCAAATAACAAACTGGAAAACACTTCTAATAAATATGACCTACAGATAGCAAAACACTTTTAATAAATTAAGAGTTTTTACAAATCAACAAACTATAAGAATGGATAAGCTTTTGCATGGTTTCCACTTATAAGATCAACTTACAAAAGCCATAGCATTTCTCTGTAGCAGCAATAATCAACTAGAAAAATTTAAAAGGAGATACAATCTACGGAAATAAAACAATAAAATATATGGGGACTAACTGAACCAGAATATACAATATCTCTGGGGTGGGGGAAGCTTCTAAATGCCAGTAAAGGACACAGATGATTATATAAATATATGGTTTAAAACAGGCTGATTTAATTTTCCAAGATGTCAAAGTTTTTTGAGTTAGACTTAATTCACCTAAATCCAATTAAATCTCATTCAAACGTCCAGTTTTCTTTTAGATAAACTAAATAAATTTATTCTAAAATTTATCTGGAAGAATAAATGTCCATAGATAGGTCAACCCTTTAAAAAGAAGAGTATAAAAACAGGACGTGTCCTGTCAGATACTAAGACATAGAACAATGTCAATAATAAAAAGTATGAATTGTGAAGAACAAATAACTAGACCAATGAAACAGAAGAGAGAGTTTAGAAACAGATCCATACACTCATGGGAACTTATACATAATAAAAATAGCACCACTAATCAATGAAGAAAAGACATAGATTTTAAAACAGACAATGTTAGTGAAACTTATTCACGTATGGAAAAAAATAAAACTAGATTTCTACCTAACACCAAATAACAAAGGTGAACTTCAACAGACCAAAAACCTAAATGTAAAAGGGAAGAAACTATAAAAATTAATGGAAGGTAACATAACAGAGTATACTGGTGATCTAGGGTGGGAAAAGACTTCTTAAACAAAATTTGCAAAGCACAAATCATAAGGCAAACAATAAATGTATTTACATCAAACTTGGAGATTTCTATACAATACAGGAATAATCAGCAAATTTAGCAGACACATGACAGAATAGGAGAAGACATCTCAAGGTCTAAAATTGATCTGCATCTAATATCTAGAATAGTTTTCTCCAATGGAACTTTCTGCAATAATGAATATGTTCTAAATCTACACAGTCCAATATGGTAGCCACTAACCACATGTGGCTATTGAGCACTAAATGAAAATAAGAAGAATTAAATGTAATACACAGTACCATTTGATTTATATAAATTGAAAATGCATGTTTACAATAACACACACTTAACAAGAACTCGTATAACTGAAAGAGTATTCACTGAACACACTAGGAAGCTTGGAAGCTTGCATTTGTGTGTCGTGGGGCAGCGGGAGAGGAAAATGGGAATCAGGAATCAGGATAAAAGGGAATGATGCTGATAATTTCCATGAAAAGAGGATATTATTTAACTCAATCCTCTGTAGCTGAGGTCTAACAAAAATGAAAAGAAAGAAAAGCCTTAAGAATCTAATAGAAAAAAAAGAACAGAATATAAAGAATTAACATACAAAATAGATGTAAATAAGAAAAAAAACACAAGAAAGTCAATGTTCAACTTCTTATTATCCAAAGAAACAAAATGGAAAAGAAGAGTAAATAACATTTTCACCCATCATATAGTAAAAAAAAAAAAATTAGTAAAAATATCGTTCATTTTTGGGAGAATTTTCAAAGAAGCAGGCCTAAGAGCCGGTATTTAAATTGACAAGACCTTCCTGGAGGGCGATCTGTTAGTGTATATCAAGAACATTAAAGATAAAAACAATCAAAGCTTTTAACTCTGCAATTCCTCTTCAAGGAATTAATCCTAAGTAGATTATTGGATAAGAAAATAAAGATATAAGTATGCCTACCATTAACAATAAAAGATAAATACAAGCCGAACACCCAATAATAGGTGCAGTGTTAAATCATTATGAGTCATTCATAATGAAGGAATATATAATAGGACATGTTCAAAGAACATGTACTGCACAGGAAAACACTCAGGAAATACTGACATATGAGAAAATATGCAACATTTTATTTATGTCTATTATAAAGCCAAGTTTTTTTAAATATGCGTACACACACAGGCATTAAAAACAGTGCCAGGAAATACAGAAGATGTTAATAGTAGTGATTTCTGGATATAACAGTAGGATTACTGGAGATTTTTGTTTTCTTCTTGATACATTTCTGTATTTTCCTGTGGTCACTATCAAAAAAATGTGTTTCTATTATAATTAGAAGATACACATTGATTTAGGAGGCATGGAGGCATCTTAATTTGCAGTAAGTGGGTAATTCGAGAAAGAAGGACATGACCTTTAGTCTAAGCAAAAATACTACCTAAGGATGACAAAGTAATTCCTAGCATCAGTAGGAGCCAGACCTTCAAAAAATACACAGGAGAAAAAGAAAGGTGGGCAGGACCCGTGGTCCATGAGGACTCCCACTGCTACAGCGAGATCTTTCAATGGGGCTGCAATGTGCCAGGAAAACCTAAGCCATAGATGGTCTGCGTTCTGCTCACGTTCACTCTCAAAAGGTCACCTAAACTGAGGATTTTTTGATGAATAGAGCCAGTGCCCTTTTCAAGAATAAAGGTGCTTTATATATAACTACAATTTCTACCCAAAACAAGATTTCTAAGTAGTTCTGATCATTTCTAGAAAGCTGTATAGCAGCATTTCACCAGTATGAGTTACACATACCTGAAGGTTACCTGAAGGTTTGAAAAAGTCATTATAATAGTTGCAGAGTTACTGAAGATTGGCTTATAAAGATAAAATGGCAATGAGATTAAGGGACTTATATCTGAGTTACGCAAGCCCAGAAATGCTTTTGCCAAAAAGGATTTACGGAATTTCACACTGCCTTACAGGAATTTTGACGTGGAAAACCTAAGTTTATGCCTAAGGGAGACAGATACACAGTGGAATGCAGCGGGTTCACTGTGACTAAGACATTTCTTGACCCAAGCCTCTGTAGCTGATGATCTGGTCTCCAGTGAGCAGAAATATCTCAGCCTAGAGAGACCAGCTGTAGGTGGTGTGTGTAGAAAAGAAATACATCTCCTAAACAACTCTTGATAGTTAATGAGCTCAAATTTTCATTTTGGAAGAGTAATTGGATTTATCAGCAGTAGTAGTGGACAAAGGTCCTACCAACAAGGATACTGGACATCATAAAGGTACTCATAAAACAGTAGTGGAGGCCAGACATGGTGGCTCAGGTCTGTAATCCCAGCATTTTGGGAGGCTGAGATGGGAGGATCACTTGAGGCCAGGAGTTCGATACTAGCCTGGTCAACATAGCCAGTACCCCATCTCTTTGAATTTTTCACTTAAAAAAAAAATAAAAGAACACTGAGCATCTCTTAGATGGAAAAGGGAGATTCCAGAAAGTAGGGGAGGGAACAGCAAGGAAGACTAGAGGGCACCAGTGTGAGAACAAGTCAGCTACCCATCCTAGTCTTGTGATAAAACTTGATCATAAAAAATAGTAGAATAAATGAGATTTGCTTCTAGTTTCATTTTAAAAAAGAAAAAAAAACAATAGAATAGAAATTAAAAATACATATCACTTTATTATAGACTGAGACACAAAGATTTATGAAAACCTATATATTTCATAAAATTATATATTTTTTAGTTTATGAACACAAAGCAGAGTAAAAGTGAGCTCTATTACAACCTGGTAAGATTTTTTGAAAGCTAAATGAAACAAATGTTTAGAAAACAAATTTTTATTAATATAGGGAGATGATTCATAATGAAACAGCTCAAAAAAGCAGAAGAATGTTGCTCAAAGTTCAGAGGAAAAGACAGTGGGAACTTTAGAGCTATGAGTCCCTCTGTTTGCAAATGTGGAGCAAAAACTCTGGCGCAAAATGGCACCCTTGGATGTCATGACTGCCCACAAAGCTGGAGGCCCAGGACCTGTAAAGCAAGATCACGTCCAGTGACATTCAGTTTTGTCGAGTAAGACCTACTTCATCCTTGTGATCACTCACTCTATAACTGTCTAATAAACACTTTCCATGAAGCGGGCCCTTTGCAAGGTTTAACAAGATCACCGTTTCCCAGTGCTCTGATGTTGGAATTTGCCACAAGTGTAAGAAAGGTGTTTTTGGGGTGTGAAAAAAGCCTTTTCCAATGCCCGCTTCCATACTGGGTCTCCCTTCCTGCCGAAGCAGATTTAATTGTTTTCATAGTACTATGTTCCCATTTCTGTTGTGATACCCTTTTATTTCATAGTAAGCTGTTTGGTGCTTCGGGTCTATCTCCCCTCTAAGCTGAGCTCCTCGGGCAAAAGGACAACGTTCATCCTTGTATCTGTAGATCTTAGGGGGTGTCTTGCACATTGTAAGCACTCTGTAACCATTTGGCAATATTCAGCTCTGCCTATAGGCCTGTGGCTCTTCAAGCCTCAGTTTCCTGATGAGTGAAGTGGATCTGACAATACCTCCTGCTTCACAGAGTTATAATGAGAATCAAGCAAGAGTCCTGTGGCAGCCCTTGGCACAGGCAGGTACTTGTGGCGACACAGGTCTTCTGGGCATTCAGCCCTTCCTCTCCTGGTAAAAGCACTTTGTTTTCTTTTGGGAAATCCCCTTTTTGCTATTCTTATGCCATGTGGTTTCAGTGTGCTGAAGTCTACCTGCCCCTTCCCCAGCCCTGTTTTCCAGGGTTGAGTATGTGCAAAGCCAGGTCAATTACAGCCGGTGAACATTTGCTCAGGGCCTTCTCCTGAAACAACTGGGAAAAGGTTCTCTGGAGTCATAGGGTAACTTAGATATTAAGCTTTGAGCTGCAAATTTGCCCACATAAATAGCCTGCCTGTGAACACTCTAAGGTTTCCTAAGATGCCATTAATTACAAGATATACCATTATTTTCTACACTTCTAACGATAAAGAAATGTAATAAGAAATTGTACATTGCATTTTGATTTCAGACATGTGAAAAAGAAAAACATGCATTTTAAAATTGACGAGATATGGTAAAACCAGCACAGAAGAAAAAGAGATGAAGAGACGCCAGTCCTAATGATATTGTTTGATCCCTCAAGTCCATCTGAGCCTAAATTCTTGAGTTATTCCCGCACTTTCCAGGAACAAGAGAGTGTATTTGTTTGTTAGGGCTGCTGTAACAACCATAAACTGATTGGCTTAAACAACTGGAATGTATTGCTTCACAGTTCTGGAGGCTAGAAGTCCCAGGTCAAGGTGCAGGGTTTGTTTCTCCCGAGGGCTGTGAGGAAAGGATCTGTTCAACGCTTCTCTCCCTGGCTTGTAAATGGTTGTCTTCTCCCTACGTTATTTCACAGCTTCCCTCCATGTGTATCTTTGCCCAAATTTTTCCTTCTCATAAAAACATCAGTCAAATTGGATTAGCTCCTCACCCCCAACCCTCCAGTAATGACCTTATTTTAACTTGATTACCTCTGCAAAGACCCTATCTCCAAATAAGGTCACATTCTGAGGTATTGGGGTCGTTATAGAACCTGTAACAGAAGGAATGCATTCCCTTCATACAAAAACCAAGTTGAGGTGGGTTTCTGTCATTTACCACCAAGACTTCTGCTCAGTAAAATTTAATTTCCTTTCCTTAGGTAACTAAAAGTTCTTTAAAATCCCAGCAAGTTTTCAGAAATGAATGATAATATGCATGAGCAAAATTTTAATTTAATCAGTTCCGTTCCTTCTGAGTCATTCTTGAGGGAGACCAGAGGTTCAGGACGAGATACCGTAGGATGAGACCCGGGCTCTAATTTTGATTCTTCCGTTACAAATGAAGTTGGCCAAATCAATTAAAAAAAGAACAGCAATTTCATTTTAAAGGAAAGTAGCATGAGACTGTGAAGAGGACATTAATCTAAGGATGAAAATATCTCCTTTAGATAAAAGATTCTGACTCCACCACTTGTTCTGTGATATTAGGTGAGCCACTGAATGATCCAGGCCTCGTCTTCTGAAGACCAAATGGAAATGCATGTGAAAGCTCTTGACAAACTATACATCGTGTCCATGACTACGTTTTGGGGGCTTTTTCTCACTTCACTGTTGAGTGTCGCAGTCCAGACACTAGACTCTATACAATTTAAATGGATTATCTCATGTAATCTTCACGATCTTATGAAGCAGTTCAATTAGCTCTATTGTTCCTCCCAGTTTTCAAATAAGGAAAATGGAAAATTATTTATTTATTTTCATTTTATTCTGTTGATCAAATTATTGGGTCAATGTGCAATGGCTCACTTAGACTAGTGCAGTCTTGGTTTAAGTCATTTCAGAGGTTACATTATGCTCCGCGGTCACCCCAATCAAATAAAGAGATGGGGAACTTTTTCTAAAGTCAGCAAATTAACAGCTAATACATTACACAGCCCAGATTTGAATTCAAGCAAGGTAGGCTAGACATTAAGCTCTTAACTGAGCTGGTATAAAAGGGATAATGGAAGCTATCTATGGAGATATACTGATAGATGTATATATAGATATACAAAAGACCAATGGAAAAACTGGCCACAGATGTTTGTTAAAAATACTTATTAGATTTTAAATGACGGAATTAAAGCATGTGTTTATCCTCTGCTTCTGAAAATAGAACTGCTGGCTGAGTAAGTCCCCTGGAGGCTGAAAGACCAATAAGTGGACAGAAATTCATTACTCTTTTATTCTGAGACCAGCTGCTTCATGCGGAATCTGGCACTTACCATACAAGGACCACTCTTAGCTTTATAATCAATGTGACGCCTTTGTTTAGCTGAGCCTCTCCATCTTGTATTTCTCCTCACTAAGCATTCTGTTGCTGGCTGTAATTCTCACTGTGTTGATGTATTGATGTCTATTTCATTGTTCCAGGTTATATTTCACTGAGTTTTCAATAGAAATGTCCCTTTTTGCTACCTAGTGAGTGGGTGTCCTTCAGCAGCTTACCACTTTGGAACTATTATTCTGATATCCCATTGCAAGTCACACTTTGTCATTAAAGTCAAAAGAGCAATATCCATTTCACTCCTATGACTAAGTCCCAAGTTCACCAAGAAAGTGGGTAGCATTCTCTGAACTTTTTGTATTTTTAATTTTTTTAAAAAAACAAAAGCAAAAAGTTGAAGCATGGAGATAAGCAAAAAGTTGAAGCATGGAGATAAGCAAATTCACTTGGGCCATGAGAAAGTCGTGGTAACACTGAAAATCATGAGAGAAGCAAGTGCTGCTCCAACGGTAAGAAGAGAAGCTTCCTCAGTCTGAACCACTGGGCCCAGGATGTATGACTTATTAAAGATCTCATACAAGAATGAAGAGTTAGCCTGGCTGTGATTGCAGAGGCCCTCTCCCACTCATTCACCTTGAGCTCACCTGGGAGTAGCTTTGAAGGCCAAGGTCAGAAAAATGTATCTTTGGATCCAAACATTCTCAGGATTGTGCCTATTGTCTTTTTGATTCCACAACTCCATGACAGCCTGCTACCAGCTGGAACTATGTATTCCTCCTCCTCTCTGGATCTTTGCTATTCACTGGGTACATTCTTCCCACTATGTGTCATAGTGAAGAATATAGCCATTTGGAGTCAGACAGATACTAGCTTGAATCACATCACATAACAGCTTTAGGTCTATGACACTATTACCTGCTTCTCTCTGCTTCCGCTTTTTTCTTCTGTAAATGAGGGTAGCAATAGTTATCTTCCAGAGCTATTACGAGGATTACATGAGGTAGCACATGCAAAACATGGTAGATTATAAAAAAAGTTGTTCCTTTTCTTTCTTTTTCCCAAATCATCCAAAGGGGATTTAGTCAATTGGTAACTCTGAAAATGTTAACATAATATCTATCTCTCCACAGATAAATACATATGCTAGCTATCCAAAGGTAAGTTAAAAGCAGATTCCACAGCCAAACTACACAGGGTTCAAATCCCTTTGTACTTCAGCTGTCGCACTTGTAAAATGGGGATAACAAATGTGCCATCCTCATAGCATCGTTAGGAGTGGTAAACAAATTAAGGATGTAAATATATACAACTAACCTGAAAAATACTAATTGTTCCCTAAGTATTATAATTCAAGACTCTAATAGTAACACTTATTATTTAGATAGATAGGTACTGTCGATGCTAATATATCAATCACCTCCAAGAAAGCTTTGCCAAAGACCTATGCCAGTTTCCCTAAAATGTATATTTTGGAGCCAGAGATAATATTTTTTAGAAGTGTCATTCTGCAAAAATGCATTTCATAGTTTTTTTTTTTTTTGGTGAAGGACAAAAACAGAGGCTATTTAAAATCGTTTTCCCTCTGCAGTAGGGAATGAGGACAGCATTTACTCTTTCTGCATTCTCTGTCCTAGATTATTCAAATAATACTCATCCTGATAACTTTGGAGTTGTTTAATTTCACTGTAAAACAGCTTTGAAAACAGCTATATTGCCCAAACATCTAAGTTCTAAAAACATCAGTGTCTCTTTTAGATCCAGGCTGTTAGCTAATTTCAATATTCATTTGTCTATTCAACCAGAAGTTTACTGGAGTTTACTATGTGCCAGACAATGTTATAGGAGATAGGTAAAAATCCCTGCTCTTATAGAGCTTTCATTATAGTGAGGTGAGAGATGCTCAATTAACAAATAGATAACTAGAATATGTAATTTGTCCAATTGTATGTATCATGGAGAAAAATAAATCAGGGAAAGGAAAATTAGGTATCCCAAAGTAGGGCTAGGAATTGCAATTTTAAATAGCATAATTGGAGAATATCTCACTGAGAAGAAACCTATGTGTATTACTGAGCGAAGTAAAGGACCAAGCTACGGGGCTATCTGTTGGAAGAGCATTCTGGGAAGAAGGAACAGCGTATGCAAAGCCCTAGAGGTGGGAGTGTACCTGGCATATTCAAAGAATGGCACGGAGGCTAGATGGCTAAAGTAGAGTGGGCAAGAGCAAGAAGAGTGGGAGTTGAAGTCACATGCACATGAAGTTACAAGAATGTTCACAGAAGCAGTAGTAATAGAATCTTGAAACCACTCAGATATCTATCAATAGTGGAATGAATAAATTATAATGTACTTACATAATGGAATTCTACATTGAAATACAAACAAAAAACAAACTATAGGTGCTCTCGATAATACAGATGAATCTCACAAACATGATGTTGAGTAAAAGAGGCCAAATGCTAAAGGATAAAAACTGCATCATTTCTTTTATATACATTTCACAAACGAGGCAACACTTGCAGTAAAAAGGCAGATTAGTAGTTAGGACAGAGATATCTGATTGGAAACGAGCTACGAAGTGTCTTCTGGGAGGGACCAAGTAGAAGCAATATATGTTCATTTTGTGATAATTTGCTTAGGATTTATGCTTTCTGTATGTATGTTTTACATATATAATATAATGTAATAGTAATACAATATTACTATTTATAATAGTAAATGGAGGAATTTGAGACAGGAAGTACAGGATTTTTTTTTTCAAAAAGTTTTACGATAACAGGAGCAGAGAAATGAGGGGAATACTGAAGGGTTATTTTAAAGATGGAAGAAATGACTGTTACGGAAAGCTCACTTACTCATATTTACCATTGCTGCAAAACACCTGTTCTATTGTTTACTTAATCGATTTTCAACTTAAATTTACTTAAAAAGCAAGTTTCATGTTAACACTGTGTCACTTGCCATAATAGAAATAACCGTAAAAATACAATGGACACAAAGTCATTCGATTAAAATAATTTAAAAATGTAAAAATAATTGAATGCAATCAAAATCAATCAAATTGAGCTGCAAAAATGAGCGCCTAAAAATAAGTTACTTAAACAGAAAACCAGAGCCGTTGATGATCAGTCAGAAGAAAAAGGATATTCTGTTCCATATATATGTAATAGTCACCAGCACTGTGCACAATTCCTTCATCTTCACCTTTACACTGCATACATACTGTTTTGAACACCTATCCACATTCATTTTAACAGAGGAGCAAAATAAAAACCTAGTCCCATATGAGGTGACAAGACGATGCTGACTTGCCCAACACTTGAGGTTGTCCCTTGTTCCCATGTCTCTGATTTGGAGGGAAGTTGAGCTTTAGAAAAAGCTTCCTAATGCTGCTGACTAAAAAGAACCCCCACTCCTATGTCTCTTCTTAGAAATTACTGGTGTATGCATCAGTGTGTGTGTGTGTGTGTGTGTGTGTGTGTGTGTGCATGTGTGTGTGTGGTGGGGAAGGTGCTGCTCAGCTGTGGTTCTAGCAACCCTGCCTGAAACCAGGCAAAGGCAGGAGGCCATCTAGAGGGCACCCACAACTCTCACTAGGCCCCAAGTCATTGGCTAAGTTCCACACTGTAGAAAACACTGCCCTATAACAATGGAGACAGTATCTTCCAAATTAAAAATCAGGCAACCTGATATTTCAACAAGATACAGTATTTAAAGATAAGAGCTGGCCGGGCACGGTGGCTCACGCCTGTAATCCCAGCACTCTGGGAGGCTGAGGCGGGCGGATCACCTGAGGTTGGGAGTTCGAGACCAGCCTGACCAACATGGAGAAACCCCGTCTCTACTTAAAATACAAAATTAGCCAGGCGTGGTGGCGCATGCCTGTAATCCCAGCTACTTGGGAGGCTGAGGCAGGAGAATCGCTTGAACCCAGGAGGCAGAGGTTGCAGTGAGCCGAGATCGCACCATTGCACTCCAGCCTGGGCAACAGGAGCGAAACTCTGTCTTAAAAAAAAATAAAAATAAAAATAAAAAATAAAAAAATAAAGATAAGAGCAGCCCAGAAAACCCATAATAATAGTGCCATACCTAGGACATTCATGTATTAGTCCACACATTTGAAATGTTTAAAATCAACACTAGTGCTACTGGGATGTGAAAATTCATAGACATAATCCCTGCCCTCAAAGTAAGGTTGCCAGATAAAATTACAGAATGCCAAGATAAATTTAAATTTCAGATAAACAGGGATTTCTTTTAGTATATGTCTCAAATATTGCATTAGATATATTAAAAATTTATCTGTTGTTCATCTGAAATTCAAATTTCTGGGTGTCCTACGTTATTATTTGCTAAATCTGGCAACCCTACCTCAAAAGGTTTTCAGTCTATTGAAGGGCAAAGACAATTCAAACACAATGAGAATATGAGAAGTGTCAGGACCAAAGAGCCATCACAGAATGCTTGTGCATATCAAACAAATATCTAACTTAGGGAAGACATTTGGAAACTGGTAACATTGGAACTGAGTCTTAAGCTGGAAACATATGGGATATACCATTTATTTCAGCATTTAATAACATGCCATCATGATTTGTGACTTAACTGTCTCATAAACATGTGTTTTGTCTACAGAACTAGATCTTAAGTTCCTTGAAGACACAGGACATCTCTTTATGCCTCCATGCCACCTGGAACTGACAGGCACACTTAAGGCAGTAGTAAATTACTGCACACATTGATGCAAATGGTTTTGTCCTCCCAAAGAGTAAAAATATTCTGTTAGTGAAATGTATTGTAACTAGTGTTTTCTTTTCCAATTTTAGTCTTTGAACACTGCAGCCAAGAATACAGTTTGAAACCTTGGGAGTCAAATTCACAGTAAATACATGAGCCGTTCACAGTGCAGCAAACTCTCATGTTAGTTTTATGACAGATCCAGTGACACTGGAATGGACACCTTTTTGATTTTGGGGTTCCTTCCTAAGACCCCCATGTGTGATATATTCATGGTTGGATTCTAGGTACTGAAGCAGTTACTACAGCTGGATAGTCCAATGAGTGTAAGAAGGCTTCTCTACAAACACATGCTGCCCACATCGAAGTTCCTCTTTAATCTACTGCAGTTTGAAATTGTCCCCCACTTTCTCCAAGAGTCCACTCCAAGCTAGTTTAGGGTTAGGTCTACCATAGCCTTTGGAAGAGGGAGGGAAGATAACTTTTCTCATCTCTCCTAGTCCCAGCTCTAAAGACCAGAACCAGGGAGAAAGCAACACAGCTTTTCCAAACACATTCCCCAAATGTGGCACCTTTTCAACAATTTTAGTAACAAATTTAAGGCATCATAGATGCCTTTAAAATTGGCATGATAGATGTTAGAGTGATCATAAAAAGACTTTAAAAGAGGAAAAGATGTAAAGAACGTAATCAAATGGGGAGCATGTTTAACAATGTGCTCACTTCTTCCCCTTCAATTCCTTGAATTGAGTCTGCATTATCATTCCTATTGATCTTTGAGCCCAGAACATTACTTTGTGGTCTGGCCTAAGGTTTCTTCCAATTTTTTAAATTACAATATCCCTAAGAGGACAGCGACGAGGTCTGGGGTGTTATGAGGATTGGAAACCTAGCCACAAGTGACCATGAAAGTCCAAAATGCCTCTAAAGTCTTTGTCTCTAAGGCCCATTTTCAAGGTCTTGTTATATAGCTAATTTTTCCCCGACTTATGTCAAAAATAAACGAAGCTGGGTTCTAGGTAAAATGGTAGGGGCAGATTTTAATCACTACTACTACTGCAATGGGGAAAAGAACCCAGCGTGAACTGAATTCAATTTCGATTTGTAGAGGCAACCGGGCGTTTTAAAGAGAATGAAGGAATTAGGATGGGACTGATGACGCCGAGGGGGACTGAGCAACTTTTTCAGGTTTGAAAAGCCTCAACATCAACGCGCGACGGCGCTCTTTCAACATCAGCCTCCAGAACTGGGGCTGCAGCCAGGAGGGAACTACAACGCCCAGCAGCCCCGGCGGGTGTAAACACTCCCAACTTCCGAGGCGGTGCTCACCATCGGCCATCAGCGCCAGTGCCACTCGCGCCCTCAAGAAGCCGCACGGAGTTCGGGCCGGCAGCAGCGGCTGCAGTCGTATGGCAGTGAGCCGCTGTCTACCCAGCGAGACGGAGAGCTCAGGACGCAACCCTATGAGTTGGAAGCCGCAGGAGGCGGAACCGGGTTGCGGGATACGCGTTGACGTCACATCCTCTGGGCGGGGCCGCAAGGAACCCGCGCAAATTGAAAGGTCAGCCTTTCGCGCGCTGTGTAGGCAAGTTACCCGTGTTCTGCGTTGCCGGCCGTGGGTGCTCTGGCCACAGTGAGTTAGGGGCGTCGGAGCGGGTTTCTCCAACCGCAATCGGCTCCGCTCAAGGGGAGGAGGAGAGTCCCTTCTCGGAAGGTGAGAGGAGCGGGCTGTGCGGAGGCTAATGGGTGGGTTCCCTTGGGGGTCGACCTGCGCGTCACCTCCGACCCTCCTCTCGGGATTCGGGTCTTCCAGGAAGGGAAGGAGAGGGTCTGGCGTGATCTTCCCAACCCAACAGCGGAGCCCTTAGCCTGAGTGGAGTATGTGTTTTGTTCCGAGGGGACGTCTGGCAACCAGAGGTCTGCAGTTCAGTGAACGGAGGGAGATAAGAGAGCAGACGATTCCGGGCTGGAGCAGGCGCCAGGGTTGCCAGACTTACCTCATTTTTCCGCAGAAGCTGGCAGTCCAGGTTTTACATGCAATCTCTCCACCTTTAAATGTTGACAAGTACATTTTCCCATAATATTTTGCAGGCCTAAGGAAACGTGTCGTCTGGAATGGGCTTGGGGGCCACGCCTGCACATCTCCGCGAGACAGAGGGATAAAGTGAAGATGGTGCTGTTATTGTTACCTCGAGTGCCACATGCGACCTCTGAGATATGTACACAGTCATTCTTACTATCGCACTCAGCCATTCTTACTACGCTAAAGAAGAAATAATTATTCGAGGATATTTGCCTGGCCCAGAAGAAACTTATGTAAATTTCATGAACTATTATATCCGTTTTCCTCGGAGTGAGAGAAAACTCTTTTTAGATATCATCTGAGAGGTAAGAGACTGTTTTTCTGAAACTGTGGCTTGAGGACCACCTGCATCCAGATTAACTGCTTTGTTTAAAATTCATTCACAGCAGAACTAGTGAATCCCAGTCACTGAGTGGAGTTGAGAGTCTAAGAACCTCTGAAATTTGAGAACTGCTGGACCAGAGCCTTTAGAGCTCTGATAAGGTGTCAACAGGGTAAAGCTGCCTCCTGATCCTGTACTTTCTTTCTTCCTTTCCTTCCAAACTTAACGTTTGATAGGAGAGATTTGTATTATGAAATGCTAAGCAACTGCTCAGTGCCCATTACTGACTTTTTATTGTAGAGTGGGGGGAGGTCGTTTCATCAGAAAGGGTTGTGACAGTTCCAGAATCTCTGTATAGAAAGGGCTTAGGGGGCTGCAACCGGAATGGAAGGGGGTGGAAAGTTAAAGCATTTGTCTTGAAGCTGTATTTGCATAGCAGACGCAGTTTCACAGTTCTTTAGGGTAGCTTTCAGAGAGGCTGATGGAGTTGCCCCTGGGCGCCACCACTGTTTATTACCAGAATGTTCGTGCTTAGAATAATGCGTTCTAATAGCAGTGAATTTCAGTCCTAAAAAAGTACAGGATCATTTCTGTAATTCTTTTTGAATTTTTCCTTTGTTTTTTAATTGAAATACTTACCTTCCTACAAACTGTTTTGAGTTTCTACTCCTATTTGAATTTGCACGTTGACCCTTATGATTAATGCCCTTTGTAGAGGCAATGCGATGCCATCGCATGCATGGTTTTGTTTGTGCCTGGCTCCTTGAAGCATGTGTCAGGAGTGAAAGTGCAAAAGCACTTTGGAAAGACTAAACAAACAATAAGCAACAGTCAAGTGGCATTAGAGGTAGTATTAGTGATTAATGTAAATTCTACCCTATGGAAATTGTTTGATAGGGAGGAGCCCAGCTAAAATATTAAAGAGCAGTGATTCTTGAATATCTGAACAATTTCTGGCCGGGCGCGGTGGCTCACGCCTGTAATCCCAGCACTTTGGGAGGCCGAGGCGGGCGGATCACGAGTTCAGGAGATCGAGACCATCCTGGCTAACATGGTGAAACCCCGTCTCTACTAAAAATACAAAAAATTAGCCGGGCGCGGTGGCGGGCGCCTGTAGTCCCAGCTACTGGGAAGGCTGAGGCAGGAGAATGGCGTGAACCCGGGAGGCGGAGCTTGCAGTGAGCCGATATAGGCCACTGCAGTCCCTCCTGGGCGAAAGAGCGAGACTCCGTCTCAAAAAAAAAAAAAAACAACAAACCAATTTCTGCATTGGACTCCAAGCTTTCTCTTCATTTGTCTAAGATGTTTTAATAAATGTATTTTTCTTTAAATATTACTGTTCTCCCTGTCTCTTTTCATATCAGGTAGTTAATTTGGCACCATGGGGATACAGGGATTGCTACAATTTATCAAAGAAGCTTCAGAACCCATCCATGTGAGGAAGTATAAAGGGCAGGTAGTAGCTGTGGATACATATTGCTGGCTTCACAAAGGAGCTATTGCTTGTGCTGAAAAACTAGCCAAAGGTGAACCTACTGATAGGTAAGTCTGGACCTTATGTTAATTCTTTGACAATTAAGAATGAGACCTACAGTGCCTTTTTTTCTCCCCCAGAAACGGATTGTTTTCACTCAATGCCAGAACTTATCAGGAAGTAAAAGTTGTATGTTTTAGAATATTCCCAAATCAGGGATGACTTCCTTCTGTGATAATAGGCCTAGTTTTCTTTCTTTATAATAAGCCAGAGTATCAAGACACTGATGGACAAAGACTATTAATATCTCCTTTATTCTTTTTTTTTTTTTTTTTTTTTTTAGATGGAATCTCTAGCTCAGGCTGGAGTGCAGTGGCACAATCTTGGCTCACTGCAACCTCCGCCTCCCAGGTTCAAGCAATTCTCCTGTCTCAGCCTCCCAAGTAGCTGGGATTACAGGTGCACACCACCATACCCGGCTAATTTTTGTATATTTATTAGAGACAGGGTTTCACCATGTTGGCCAGGCAGGTCTCAAACTCCTCAAGTGATCCGCCTGCTTTGGCCTCCCAAAGTGCTGAGATTACAGGCGTGAGCCACCATGCCTGGCCCAATTCTTAACCTAAGATAAATTTTTTAACAAATGCTTTGAAAATCCGTGATGATTTCTGACTCCCACATTCTTGGGTACAGAAAACATACTGCTAATCCTGGTTAGCAAAAAAACAAATGTGTTGTAAAATTCATTATAATTTCATATTTGCTTTCTCCTGAATTTTGCTTTATGATCAGCAGGTCCCAATCATTGTTCCATACCAATGCAAGTTCACTGTCACTGATCTACAACACATAGAAAAAATAAGGATAACAATGTAGTGAGTCTTTCATCAAGATGACATATTTAAAAGGTCATCTTTTTTTTCTTTATTTTAGCTGCTAAGTTTGCGTTATGCAAAAAGATTAAAGATTGTTTTCCCATTCCTGTTTTTGAGCTAAAATGTCCTTTTCTTTATAAAATGATAGAAGTTGTAAATGCAGTTGTTTTTGTCACAATACCTAATGTAATACCTGACCCTTGATTGGATCCTGGATTTGGAAAAAATAGTAGCAGTGGTGTCCTGGAGCCAATTCATATGAGCTCTTTATACACCATGTCTTCTCAGCTCAGCATTCATTTGAGTTCAAGTAGGTAGCTCATCTGCCATTGAGAAATATTTATCTCAGGGAAATCAGGCACCTCTTCCCGCAGAACTGGTTGTTAAACATTTACCAGGACACCACTGAATATAAGAAACATTGTTGAGACAAGTGTACCAATTATAATATAAACTGAGTATTAGATAATATTATGTTACTATTAAATTACTTAGCTGTGATATGGTGTCGTTGGAAGAATCCAGTGTTTATTGTACTATTCTTTCAACTTTTCAATAGATTTGAAATTTTTTAACATAAAATGGGGGGGAAAGACCAGATTTGAAACCAAAGATGTCAGAATTAGAAGGGATATCAAAGCTCTTTAATTCACAGATAAGGAAACCAAGGCTTGGAGGGTCAAGTAGTTCACCAGACATCACATGGCTCGTAAGTATCCAAGGCAGGATTTGAATCCAAGTCTAGTAAGTTAGAGTTCCAATTCCTATGAAAACATCTGCTTAAAATAACAAAATAAAAAACCTTCTCTTTCCATAGTTTTCTCATCTGGCCTAAAATAGAGCAGAAGTATTACCTTAAGAAAGGTGAAGCACTGAATGTTTTTCTTTTTTTCCATAGGTATGTAGGATTTTGTATGAAATTTGTAAATATGTTACTATCTCATGGGATCAAGCCTATTCTCGTATTTGATGGATGTACTTTACCTTCTAAAAAGGAAGTAGAGAGATCTAGAAGAGAGTAAGTTAATTCTCTACTTAATCTCTAACTTCATTGCACTAAGGTCAGACACTGTAGTCTATATGATACCAATTTTTAAAATTTTAAGCCAGGCTCAGTGGCTTGCACCTGTTGTCCTAGGTACTCGGGAGGTTGAGGCAAGAGGATCACTTGAGCCCAGGAGTTCAGCACCTTAGTACCCTATGATCATCGCTGTGAAGAGCCACTGTACTCCAGCCTGGGCAACATAGTGAGACCCCGTCACTAACAATTTTATCTTTATTTTTTGACAGTCTCACTCTGTCGCCCAGTCTAGAGTGCAGTGGTATAATCTTGGCTCGCTGGAAACTCCACCTCCCGGATTCAAGCAATTCTTGTGCCTCAGCCTCCCGAGTAGCTGGGACTACAGGCACGTGCCACCACACCCGGCTAATTTTTGTGTTTTTAGTAGAGATGGGGTTTTGCCCTGTTGGCCAGGCTGGTCTCAAACTCCTGGCCTCAAGTGATCTGCCCGCCTCAGCCTCCTAAAGTGCTGGAATTACAGGCATGAGCCACTGTGCCTGGCCTAAAAAAAAATTAATAAATAAAATTTTAATTTGTTGAGGCTTATTTTATAGCCTAGTATGTGAACAGATTTCCTTAAATGTTATGTATCTGCTACATTATCACTTTTGTTTAAAAGTATCTTCGTTACTACATTTTCTTTGACAAAAAGAATTGCTGTGGAAAAGCCTAATGGTAATCTTGTGTGTGTGTGTGTGCATATAATCATTCTAAGTCACTTGTTCTTTTTGCCTTAGAAGCCTAAAGCATCTGGGTTAATGTTCTCAAGGGCCTGGTGTGTACTTTCTAATGAGTCAAAAACTTTTTTCAGTTCTAGGAAAGCTTCTTGAATTACAGTTCTGTTACAGTTTCTTGAGTCAGCCTCTTAAATGTTTTATATTTAAAAAATGTTCTTCCCTTGCAGAAGACGACAAGCCAATCTTCTTAAGGGAAAGCAACTTCTTCGTGAGGGGAAAGTCTCGGAAGCTCGAGAGTGTTTCACCCGGTCTATCAATATCACACATGCCATGGCCCACAAAGTAATTAAAGTAAGACAAAGGGGCAGATGGGCAAGTTCACCAAAGCTAGTTACAACTTGTTTATTGATGGGAGAGGAAGAAAATCAAGGGTGGAAAATTGTTCTAGGCCTAACCTCAAGTAAAGGGCAGATGTCAGAAGGAGAAGGGAACAGCATCACTAGATAGAGAAGACTTCAGCAATTTCCAAGGAGAAATCCTAAGGCATAAGTAAGGCTCTCTCTTTTAAGTCATGTTATTCCATAGCAATGGAAGGAACAGGGCCAGGCACGGTGGCTCACACCAGTAATCCCAGCAGTTTGGGACGCTGAGGCAGGAGGGTCATTTGAGCTCAGGAATTTGAGACCATCCCGGGTAACATAATGAGACCCTGTCTCTATTAAAACTTAAAAAAATGAAGAGATGGAAGGAACAAATTCCTGGAGGCATCGGTCTCACCCAACTCTCCTACAGTCTTCAACACTTACTGTAACCGGCACTCTTGAATGACAGATCTGTGATGTAGCTTCGTTGCCCCAGGCACCCTACAGACTTCTGTTCCCTTTCACCTCCTCCTTGCAGCAGCTTCTTTCCTTATTCCTGTAAATCTTAGTGTCAAGGTGCCCACATTCCCAGCCCTCACTTTCCCCTTTTTAGAGCCTGCTTGGTTAAGGTGTTGTGGTTTTTTTGTTCGTTTGTTTGTTTTGAGGCGGAGTTTCACTCTTGTTGCCCAGGCTGGAGTGCAATGGCACGATGTGGGCTCACTGCAACCTCTGCCTCCCGGGTTAAAGCGATTCTCCTGCCTCAGCCTCCCAAGTAGCTGGGATTACAGGCATGTGCCACCACGCCCGGCTACTTTTGTATTTTTAGTAGAGATGGGGTTTCTCCATATTGGTCACGCTGGGCTCGAACTCCCAATCTCAGGTGATCTGCCCACCTTGGCCTCCCAAAGTGCTCGGATTACAGGTGTGAGCCACCGTACCTGGCCTGTTAAAGGTATGATGGTAAAGGTGAAGTCAGCTTTTTCTAGCTTACAGTTCTGTCATCCAGTTCCTGAGCTAAAATAGGCGCTACACTTCTGATTTTGGCTTTGTCATTTGAGTCTCTGGCTCTTTTCTGTATGGGTCAAGCTAGAAGGAAACGATGCGATGCAGGACAGAGCGTGAAGTATAAAGAAATGTGTGCTCTGTGTAGTCAGGAGAAGAGAGGCTGCATTGTGTGCGGAAGTAGAGGAGAAACCCTGATTGGACACAAATAGTGGTGTAAAAGTGTGTCCAGAATTGGTGGGTTCTTGGCCTCACTGACTTCAAGAATGAAGCCGCAGACCCTCGCGGTGAGTGTTACAGCTCTTAAGGTGGCGTGTCTGGAGTTTATTCCTTCTGATGTTAGGATGTGTTCGGAGTTTCTTCCTTCTGGTGGGTTCATGGTCTCGCTGGCTCAGAAGTGAAGCTGCAGACCTTTGCGGTGAGTGTTACAGCTCTTAAGGCAGCGCGTCTGGAGTTGTTCGTTCCTCCCTGGGGGCTCGCGGTCTTGCTGGCTTTAGGAGTGAAGCTGCAGACCTTTGCGGTGAGTGTTACAGCTCATAAAAGCAGCGTGGACCCAAAGAGTGAGCAGTAGCAAGATGTATTGCAAAGAGCGAAAGAACAAAGCTTCCATGGTGTGGAAGGGGACCTAAGTGGGTTGCCACTGCTGGCTGGGGCAGCCAGCTTTTATTCTCTTATCTGGCCCCACCCACATCCTGCTGATTGGTAGAACCGAGTGGTCTGTTTTGACAGGGTGCTGATTGGTGCGTTTACAATCCCTGAGCTGGACACAAAGATTCTCCACTGTCCCCATCAGATTAGTTAGATACAGTGTCTACACAAAGGTTCTCCAAGGCCCCACCAGAGCAGCTAGATACAGAGTGTCTATTGGTGCATTCACAAACCCTGAGCTAGACACAGGGTGCTGATTGGTGTGTTTACAAACCTTGAGCTAGATACAGAGTGCCGATTGGTGTATTTACAATCCCTGAGCTAGACGTAAAGATTCTCCAAGGCCCCACCAGACTCAGGAGCCCAGCTGGCTTCACCCAGTGGATCCCGCACGGGGCTGCAGGTGAAGCTGCCTGTCAGTCCTGCGCCGTCTGCCCGCACTCCTCAGCCCTTGGGTGGTGGATGAGACTGGGCGCCGTGGAGCAGGGGGTGGTGCTCGTTGGGGAGGCTCGGGCGGCACAGGAGCCCACGGAGGGGGTGGGAGGCTCAGGCATGGCGGGCTGCAGTCCCGAGTCCTGCCCCGCAGGAAGGCAGCTAAGGCCCCGCGAGAAATAGAGCGCAGCGCCGGTGGGCCGGCACTGCTGGGGGACCCAGTACATCCTCCGCAGCCGCTGGCCCGGGTGCTAAGCCCTCATTGCCTGGGGCCGACAGGGCCGGCCGGCTGCTCTGAGTGCGGGGCCGCCAAGCCCACGCCCACCCGGAACTCCAGCTGGCCCGCAAGCACCGCGCGCAGCCCCAGTTCTCGCTGGCGCCTCTCCCTCCACACCTCCCTGTAAGCTGAGGGAGTGGGCTCCGGCCTTGGCCAGCCCAGAAAGGGGCTCCCACAGAGCAGCGGTGGGCTGAAGGGCTCAAGTGCCGCCAAAGTGGGAGCCCAGGCAGAGGAGGCGCCGAGAGCGAGGGAGGGCTATGAGTACTGCCAGCACGCTGTCACTTCTCAAAAGGATGAGAGTAGGACTATTGCTGGACCAAAAAAGGAAAAAAAATGAGAAAAATAGCAAATTGTTACCAAAATTGATAGCAGCAGGATCTTGATACCTCTTTCCTCTTTTTTTCTTTTTTTCTTTTTTTTTTTTTAACTTCCCAAAGCCTGTCTTCAGGCCTTGGGAACCATTTTCCCATAGTTTAGAACATGGAAGTTCCAGTTCCAGCTGCCTAGATTTTGACACAGCGGCTATGATAGGGGCTGTTTTTCTTGGCAAGTTTATTTTAAAAGTATTTTCTCATAATGCATTGGTTTAAATATAGTGCTATAGCCTATAATATATATGTAAGATACATTATTAGAGGAGAGTTATGTATGTGTGTATATATACGTGTGTGTGTATATGTATACACACATATACCTACGTATATATTTTCCCCCCAAGACATTGCTGGATATGGTCTATAATTTTATCAATACTGTGTCAGTACATTGACTTTCGTAGCTTGACAGGACAACCTGTTATTTTTATGGGGAAGATATATTCAAAACTCCAAACAAATGTATATTTTCGGAACATAGCCATTCTTAAGATGGAAGTTTTCTATAATTTAAAATAAGTGGGCCAGGCACAATGGCTGAACGCTTACAATGCCAACACTTTGGGAAGCTGAAGCGAGTGGATCACTTGAGTCCAGGAGTTTGAGACCAGCCTAGACAACATGGCAAAACCTTGTCTCTACAAAAAATACAAAAAAATTAGTTGGGCATGGTGGCATGCACCTGTAGTCCCACCTACTCGGGAGGCTGAGGTGGGAAGATCACCTGAGCCCAGAGCCCAGGAGGTCGAAGCTGCAGTGTGCCCTGCCGGCTGGCACCACTGCCACTCCAGCCTGGGTGACAGAGCCAGACCCTGTCTCCAAAAAATAAAATGATTACTTTTGTAACTTGTAGGATTCTTTTTTCCTCTGGCTGTGTAGCAGTATTTCTTTTCTCCAAATTTTATAAGTTGATTTTTTAAAAATGTCTTAATGGCTATATAATTAGTTCAACATATACTAAAACTTACAGTAGAAAAACTCTACTTCAAAGGAAATGATTTCTCAAAGTAATATTAGCATGTGCCTGCTGAGGCTAGTAATAAAGTGGGTTTGAAACAGGAAGTTGTTTAGTACTTTCCAGATGCCGTGCTAGAGATTCACTGTGATTCTCTCTTCTAGGCTGCCCGGTCTCAGGGGGTAGATTGCCTCGTGGCTCCCTATGAAGCTGATGCGCAGTTGGCCTATCTTAACAAAGCGGGAATTGTGCAAGCCATAATTACAGAGGACTCGGATCTCCTAGCTTTTGGCTGTAAAAAGGTACTCACCTCTGACTACTATATATTACTTTTCTATGTAGATAGTAGTGTAAATCAAGGAGCTGAAATTTTTCCTGTCCAGGAAATTATGATAATTTATAATATTTATAAAATTTATAATATTTATAAAATATTACAAGGTAAATTATTGTATTTAATAGATATTTGCAACTGACATCTATTTTTATAATGTTAATAATTATTTAAAATGAAAAGAAGGGTTTTGCTGCTTGATGTTTGTGTAATGTGGATACTTTTTCAAAGTAAGCCCTTAAGGTTGGAGGGGTTTGTTATTGTTTTATGCAGATTCTTTAGTAGAATGTGGACGTACCAGTTTTATTTTTTAATAATGACAACATATGCTTTATATTTCTTGATTAGGTTAGGTATACTAACTTATGTACTAAAGGGTTGCCATGCAGTTATTTAGAATTATGTATAAAACTATTTCATGGAAAACTTTATTTAGGGGAGAATTAAGATACAAAACTACAGGATGTTCTCATTTTTGTTAATGCCTATATTTATGACTAGAAGGGTCTCTATCAAAAGGTTAATACTAGGTTACAGTGATAAATGAGGGAATAGGGATGACTTGTTTTCTTCCTGAATTTCTATATTTTCCAAATTTTCTACAATAAACATGAATTGCTTCAATAATAAGGAAAAAGATTACTTAAAAGGTACAAGTGACAGAGAAAGAGAAAATGTTTTTCGTATGCATTACTGTTTGATTATCATGACAACCCTGTAACACAAGTAGGAAATAAAGAGATGCAAAAAGAGCTTGCTTTATACCAGAATTGTGACAGTTGAGTCCTAGCTGTATAGCCTTGTCTAGTCATATCCTATGCTTCAGCATACTTTATTTGTAAACTTAGTAATCATCAGCCTGTCTATCTATGTCTCCTGTCTTTCAGTGTTATGGTGAAGAACAAGAAAGATTTCTTAAAATTATTGCAGTGGATTAGATAATGACAAAAGTGGCCCTTCTAGGTATTAACAATTTCCCTTCCTTTTGAAGGTAATTTTAAAGATGGACCAGTTTGGAAATGGACTTGAAATTGATCAAGCTCGGCTAGGAATGTGCAGACAGCTTGGGGATGTATTCACGGAAGAGAAGTTTCGTTACATGTGTATTCTTTCAGGTTGTGACTACCTGTCATCACTGCGTGGGATTGGATTAGCAAAGGCATGCAAAGTCCTAAGACTAGCCAATAATCCAGATATAGTAAAGGTAAGAGTGATTTGCTAAGTGTCATATTCAATTTCTGAAGCATTTCCTTAATAAAATAATAAATCATAATATGGATTTAAATATTCTGTTATGCGAATAACCTATATTATATTATTAAAAGGAGCAAATGACTGAGGCACTAGAACTTTGCCTTAGCAACTAACATATATTGGGAAAATCATGTTTTCTGCAATTGGCAAAAAAGTAGTGATTTTTAAAACAAAGACTAGTATAAAGAGGCTCAAGGAGAAAATATTCTAGGGTAAAATTAAACTCGGAGTCTTTTGACTTCTGTGCTATAACTCTATAGTAGTGGTTCTCAAACTGTTTGGTCGCAGGATCCCTTTACACTCCTCAAGCTCCTTTATGGTAATATTTTTTGTTTATGTAGGCGATAGCTATTGATATTTACTGAATTAAAAATTAAAACAAAAATTTAAATGTTTATCAATTCACTTAAACTTTATAATAAACTCATTACATGTTAGCATAAATAGCATGCTTTTATGAAAAATAATCATTTTTTAAAACAAAAATTATGAGAGAGAGGAATCATACATTTATGCAAATCTCTTTAATGTGGCCTAATAGAAGACAGCTGTGTTCGTATACAAGTTGAACATCCCTAATCCAAAAATCTGAAATGTTCAAAAATCCAAAACTTTTTGAGTCCCGGCAGGCAAGTGAAAAATTCCACACCTGATCTCATGTGAAGAGTACACAAAATAATTAAAAATACTGTATAAAATTACCTTCAGTCTATGTGTGTAAGGCTTATATGAAACATAAATTGAGTTTTTTTTCTTCTTCACCCTCTTGCTGTCAGTGTGTGGAAACGTAAATGGATTTTATGTTTAGACTTGGGCCCCATCCCTAAGTTATCTCATAACGTGTATATGCAAATATTCCAAAATCTGAAAAAATTCAAAATCTGAAACACTTCTGGTGCCAAGCATTTTGGATAATGTGTACCCAACCTGTATCTGCTGCCTTATTAAGCCTCATTTGATACCATGTATCATATATCATCTGGAAAATTCTGAGACTCTGGACATTGCTACTTTGTAGTTTGTCTTAAAAAATAAACATCAAAGAAGCTCATTTTCCCCCTTGGATATTCTCTAAACCCTTAACAGTTTGCAGAGCAGAAATTTCATTTTTCTATTTCCAGGAGTATAAGGCCTGAGTCCTCAGGACTAAGAGTGATGTCATGTAATGGAAAGATCTCTAGGTTGGAAGATAGTGTCCCAGGTGGGAATAGGACCACGTGCCTTAACTAGCCTGTGACTCCAGGATCCGTTTGGTTCTCTGGGCCTTCCCTTTTTCATCTATGAATTTACTATGCAATGTTTAGGATCCTTTCCAGCTTTAAGCATCCATGACTCTCACAGAAATCAGAATGTCAACTTGGTTTAAAAATATGATCTAGAAATATTTGCATTTTTTTAATTCTCAGATTTTGGATGTTCTTTTTTTTTCCTTTCTTGATAAAAAGGACTTTGAAGATGAATGGATAATGTATCTCAAAGTTACACCTAGAAGCACAAACTTGATGTACTATATAACTGTATTTTTTTATCCTTCAAATTAGTAATAGAAAAACCAAAGAAAATACTAGTTATGAGACTTAGAATTTTAAGTGATGTAACATGGTTGTGTTAGCTGGTAGAATTTTTTAATGTAGATGAAAGCAGTTAATGTTTCAATCCCTCTTTATGAATGTAAATCAATCAGCCTTGAGGATAATATGTTCCCTGTTCTTTAGTTGCAGATAAAATATTTTTGCATGCATTGTTAGGTTATCAAGAAAATTGGACATTATCTCAAGATGAATATCACGGTACCAGAGGATTACATCAACGGGTTTATTCGGGCCAACAATACCTTCCTCTATCAGCTAGTTTTTGATCCCATCAAAAGGAAACTTATTCCTCTGAACGCCTATGAAGATGATGTTGATCCTGAAACACTAAGCTACGCTGGGCAGTATCCTTTCTGAAACAGAATGGTAGAATTTGTGCATTTTTCTTCAATATTTTTATGGTGATTTTTTTGTGAGGCATTTAGTAAAAAGCTTGCACATTATTTTTTGCTCTCTTTTTTATAGTGAAATCTGTATATTGTTCATTTAAATTACCATGCTAGTGAAAATTGAGAACAACTTTTTGTTTATAAACCCGAGGCTCATCCACTATGCATCCTGATTACTTAGATTGACTGACAGTAGCATGCACAGGGTCCGTCACTTACGGTACACATTCCAAAGGTGGCTCTTGAGAGGACCTCCTCGTGGCAAGCAAGCTCGACTTATCAGGAAGAGCATTCTGGGCATTTGAGTGCATCAGGAGAGGATGCCCTTCCCATAGCCACTGGCCATGTACATGCAGGCTGATGCAGAGCCCTGAGTCACTTAGGTGGTGGCTAGGACTTTCCCCTCTGTTTCCCTTAAAGGCAGGGAGTCAGTGATGGCCTGGGCCCTCGTCAGAAGACACCAACTCCTGCAGAGACAGATAGAGACTAGCAAACTGTGTCTGCTTTCAGTAATGCTGATGTATAAAGTAAGGAGACTCCATTTAAGTCATAAACCTATGGATTTTCGTGACAATAGAAAACATTTTTCCATCTTAGTATAATATCATTTGGTTGGTTGTTAATAAATACATTTTTCCTTAATCTTGCTAATCTAGATATGTTGATGATTCCATAGCTCTTCAAATAGCACTTGGAAATAAAGATATAAATACTTTTGAACAGATCGATGACTACAATCCAGACACTGCTATGGTAACGTTTTGATGACCACCCTATGAAAACACGTTTTAGTTATGTCCCGAGCTGTGATTAAAGGCAAATCTTCATACACTAAGCTTCTTTTAAGCGTTTCTATATCCAGGCTCTGTGCAGAATGTACATTAAAAACAACTTGATCCTAGAGAAATTACATGTATTAGAGCATAGGTATATTGGTTAATTTTTTAAAATTAAGAAGTGACTGTTATTTATTATCAAACCCTTATCCTTGAGCATTTCATTTGAATATACCAAGCATTTGATGCCTTTTTTTCTCATCTCACTCCGTTCGGCTTCTGTGGCATTTGGCATCATTGAAGACCCAAGCCTAGGAATGCTACGGGAGTTAAAGCTGTTTTTTCACTCATGCACAATTTAACAAATATTTAATGCACGCCCCTGCTGTTTCTTTAAACAATTTGCTGTTTTCTTTTATTTTTCTTTTTTGAGACAGAGTTTCATTCTTGTTGCCCAGGCTGGAGTGCAATGGTGCGATCTCAGCTCACCACAACCTCCGCCTCCCAGGTTCGAGCAATTCTCCTGCCTCAGCCTCCTGGGTAGCTAGGATTACAGGCATGCACCACCACGCCCGGCTAATTTTGTATTTTTAGTAGAGACAGGATTTCTGCATGTTGGCCAGGCTGGTCTGGAACTCCCAACCTCGGGTGATCTGCCCACCTCGGCCTCCCAAAGCGCTGGGATTACAGGCGTGAGCCACCACTCCTAGCCGCGATTTGCTGTTTTCTTCTGCTTCTTCAGTATTGTATGTATTCCTTAAGATACTGTCTCCCATCATTGTCTTTCTCTTTGTATTTCTGTTTATCCTCTGTTCTCTTTTCTGTTTACATTTCTTCCTTAGGTAAGTCCTTAGGGCTTTAATCCCATTTACGTAAAGAACTCACATCTCCATCTTTACTCCAGTCTCTCGCCTGTGCACCAACCACAGAATTCTCACTGTCTCTTGCGTCTCTGATTTCCTGTAGCCTCCAAGTCTATTTATAGGCAAAACTAAACTCTTCATGTTTTTAATCAACTTTTAATCACATTTCTCTTTTATTTCCTACTTAGCACTTATTACTGTATAACATGCTTCTATTCTTTTCTGATTCTTTCCAATAGAATGTGGTCTTCATAAAGGCAGAACTTGGTGATCCTCACTGCTGTATGATATTTACTATGTTTATATGTTGAGTGAATGAGTGTTAGCCACAGGTCTCTTTTGTTCTCACACTGGAAAACTTGGAAATAAACTTTGGCTTCCATTTCGTTGCTACATCCTCTTGCCTCTTTGAGTTGTCCTTCTGGTTAACATTTTCTTCTTTTCCCAAGCTTCCAGTTTAATTCTTGCTCACTAATTTATTCCTTTACTAAACATTTATCAAGCACTGAAACAATGTAATTAGGTTAGCTAGGGTTCTGGAATATAAAGAAAAATAAGAAATACAGGAAAAGTAAGATCCTTGCCTGTCAAATGCCCATTGCCTAAATAGGAAGGAGAAGGGATTCTATAGAAAGAAATGCGGTAAGTGCTACGCTAAAGAGGTATTCCAGGCTCTGTGGAAATAAAAAGCATGTCCCTCACTCCACCTAAGAGAATGCTTCCTAATAATAATGGCAAACATTTTCTGAGCATTTGCTACTTTCCAGGTGCTCTTTTAAGCACCTTAGACATAGTAAGTCATTTACTCTTCAGAAAGCCTCTGAAGTCAGCACCATTCTCATTTTACAGATGAGGAAACAATTAGAGGACACTTAAGTAACTTTTCCAGCTGACCATTTTCGTAAATAGGGGAGCTGTGATTCCAAGCCAAGTTCTCTACTGTCTGCTGAAAGAGAAACTGATGTGTATCCTCAGTTTGCAAGGATTAGTAGAGTTTTTCAAGATGGGTGATTCCAGGCTAAAAAAAAAAAAAACAAAAAAAGCGTATGTAGAAAAAAGTGATATATTAAGGGAACTCTTAGATTGTTCATTATGGATGGGCTAAGAATATCTTAGTGTTTACCATGTAAAGGAACCAGATCTTGAGAAAAAAAGAAGTGAGCCTGGAAAAGATGACCACTAACAAACTGGTGATCCATTCAGCATGGAAAAGTAACCATTACTGTAAGCTGAAATAAGCCAAGCCTACCAAGAGAGCACAAATCTATAACGACCCTAAAAATGAACTTTATCAGCTTCAGTGATGTAAACCTTACACTCAGGTTGCTATTCCCCTATTTTCTAACCTTGCTCCATGTAATACGGTAGCCACTAGCCATGTGTGGCTATTTAAATTTGTTAAAATTAAATACAATTGCTATTTTACTTCCTTAGTTATAGTAGCCAGCTTTCAAGTGCTTAGTGGTTAGTGGCTAACATAGTGGACAGCACAGAGCTTTTCTATCAGTGCAGGAAATTCTGCTGAATTCTTTACTTCTACTATCATATTTTTATATCTAGGGACTCTTTAATTGTACTTTTTTTTGAAGATTTAGATGTCATCTCTTATCTTTCTCAGAATATGATAATTTTTTGAACGTTTTCTTCCGCTCTCTGTAACTGCTGTGTACCTTTTTCCTGTGTTGATATTTTCTCCCTCATGGTGGTAACTTCTGGCCAGTCATATTTGAAGGGGCCCCGAAAAGCTCATGGGGAACATTGTGTGAATGAGTGGGGCTTATGATGTTGGACTTCATTCTTGGATGATGTGGTTGGTAACACATTGGATTTGATTTGTGAATTCTCCAATGTTGGAATGTTCTCTGCACAGTTACATTTTTCCAAAAAGAGATGTCTGCTTAGGGTATCTAAACTTTGGCTGTCTGTATTTTGAAAGCAGGATAGGGAAAGTGAGTTGGGGCAGGCCAGGAAAGGGTAGCATGGTTCCTTGCCATTCAATATTTAGCCTTTTGTTTCATCTCTGTTTTCAGACAAATGAATCTATCTTCAGAAATGCCTGCTATGTCTGTTACTCTTTGTGGGTTTCAAAAGTTCAATTGTTCTGGTTCTGAAGGCAGGTAGATGTTTGTTGACTGTATAGTCAGGTTGGAGATGGGGACACAGGGTCAAATAATTCTCTCTTTCGTTAGTCATTCCCCCACCAGGGGCTTCTGTAATTCCAAGACTTTAATTCTTGAGCCTTTCTCCAGGTTTCTGTAGGTGGAATTGGCTTCTCTTTGATATTCTCTTCTGCAGACAAAGTCTTTTAATTTCTTCCATCTATGTTCTATCTTCACCGTGGTTTAGAAGTCACAGATTATCTCCTAATTTTTTTGCAGGTTAATTTTGTGTTTCTTATTGTTTTGAGGAATGATTATGGAAAGAAGGAGACTGAAAAGTGCTATCTTTACACAGCTGAACTATTGACAGTATTTATCATTTCTTTCTTTCTTTTTTTTTTTTTTTAAATTTGAGACAGGGTCTCTTTCTCTGTCCTCCAGGCTGGAGTGCAGTGGCACCATCAGAGCTCCTGGGCTCAAGCGATCTTCAGTAACTGGCATCAAGCCTCTTGAGTAGCTGGAACTACAGGCACATGCCACCATGCCTGGCTAATTTTGTGTGTGTGGGGGGGGGGTCTCACTATGTTGCCCAGGCTAGTCTTGAACTCCTGGCCTGAAGCAGTCATTCTGCCTTGGCCTCCAAAACTTCTGAGGTTACACATGTGGAGCCACCACACCTGGCCACAGCATTATATATATATATATATATTTTTTGACTTGAATATCTCTTTTTTTTTTTTTTTGAACAGAATCTCTCTCTCTTGCCCAGGCTGGCACGCGGTGGCATGATTTTAGCTCACTGCAACGTCTGCCTCCGAGTTTCAAGTGGTTCTCCTGCCTCAGGCTCCCAACTAGCTGGAATTACATGCATGTGCCACCACGCCCGGCTGATTTTTGTATTTTAGTAGAGATGGGGTTTCATCATATTGGTCAGGCTGGTCTCAAACTCCTGACCTCAGGTGATCCACCTGCCTCAGCCTCCCAAAGTGCTGGGATTACAGGTGTGAGCCACCATGCCTGGCCTATAATTTCATTAAGAATGATTCTTAAGCTTTTCCTTTGTCTCAGAAACTCAAAAATAGTTGACAGTGTTGAGTATGTCCCATTACCAATTGTAATGTTATGGAATGCTAAGATGGCCATCCTTCATCAGCTCAAATTCCTGTCAGAATTTTGTCCTTCTCATAGAGAAATTTCTATAGGAACCATAATTGTACACCAAATGAGTTATTTTTATTTATCTAAAATTTATTTAGTCTGGTTTTCTACTTGTCTATTTCTCTTTCTTATTTAGTAAAACCATCAGTGGGATCTAATGCCATGAGCCATACTGATAAAGCTATCTTTTTATATTCGTTCCCTCAATTAAATTACCTTCCTTATTAATTCTCAAAGGGTATTCTGAATAATGTCACCGGTTTTATTTATTTTTATTTTTGTCCTTTCTTTAAGTGAAAGGCTTTGATTAGATTCTGAGTTCATGTGGGATTTTTGTCAGGTGGGATTGTAATGATTTTTTTTGTGTCTTTGCTAATTTTTTCCCTTTGGCTGTCCTTCTCTGTTAGAATATCATTGACATCCTCTTAGCAGATCATTGTCTTCCAAAATTTGTAGTAATTGTGAATAACTTATATTAGCATTAAAAGTGATTGCTTTCCTTTTTTGTTTGTTTGTTTTTGAGACGGAGTCTCCCTCGGCTCACTGCAACCTCTGCCTCCTGGGTTCAAGTGATTCTCCTGCCTCAACCTCCCAAGTAGCTGGGATTACAGGCACACGCCACCACACCTGGCTAATTTTTGTACTTTTAGTAGTGGCAGGGTTTCACCATGTTGGCAAGGCTGGTCTCGAGCTCCTGACCTCAAGTGATCCGCCTGCCTCAGCCTCCCAAATTGCTGGGATTATAGGCGTGAGCCACCGTGCCTGGCTGCTTTCCATTTAAAAGACACCGTTTTCCTGACCACATTTCTTCAGTTGTGGTCTTATTTCTTGCACCATTTGTATTACGAAGATTTTTATTTATTTATTTATTTATTTACTTTTAATCTTTTTTTTCTACAGCTGCTAGCAACTCTTGATTTTTTTTTTTTTTTTTTTTAGAAATGAGCTAACAAAGTTGCTTGACTCTCATCAGAAGAAAAACAGGCCTAGGAATATAAGACACATTTAATGGAAAAGTATAGGACCAGCAAAGTAGGAAATGTTATTCAAGGACAGCTGTTTCATCAACAGCTATTGTTTTTAAGGGTAACTTAAGATGTTTATTTATAATTTATGTTGATACAGAAGGAAATAAATTGATTATTTTCTTTCTGCAAATAATCTTTTTCCTTTTCCTTTTCTAGCCTGCCCATTCAAGAAGTCATAGTTGGGATGACAAAACATGTCAAAAGTCAGCTAATGTTAGCAGCATTTGGCATAGGAATTACTCTCCCAGACCAGAGTCGGGTACTGTTTCAGATGCCCCACAATTGAAGGAAAATCCAAGTACTGTGGGAGTGGAACGAGTGATTAGTACTAAAGGGTTAAATCTCCCAAGGAAATCATCCATTGTGAAAAGACCAAGAAGTGGTACGTATTTCAGTTTTGCAAAATGCTGGTGAATATTGGTCATATTTAAAGAAATCATTGCCCAACGCAAAGTCGCGAAGATTTTCTCCTGTTTTCTCCTAGAAGTTTTATAGTTGTATTAGTCCATTTTCACCCTGCTGATAAACACATACCTGAGACTGGGCAATTTACAAAAGAAAGAGGTTTAATGGACGCACAGTTCCATGTAGCTGGGGAGGCCTCACAATTATGGTGGAAGGTGAAAGGCACTTCTCACATGGTAGCAAACGAGAAGAATGAGAGCCAAGTGAAAGGGTTTTCCCTTATAAAACCATCAGATCTCATGAGACTTATTCACTACTATAAGAACAGTATGGGGGAAACGGCCACCATGATTCAGTTATCTCCCACCAGGTCCCTCCCACAACACATAGGAATTATGGGAGATACAATTCAAGATGAGATTTGGGTGGGGACACAGCCAAACATTATCATTAGTTTTAGCTCTTACATTTTACAGTTTTAGCCTGTGAGCCATTTTGAGTTAGTTTTTTTAATACGATGTGATGTAAGGATTATGGCTTTTTTTTTTAATCTTGTATATATGGCTGTCCAATTGTTCCAGCACCCTTTGTTAAAAAGTTTTCCTTTCCCCATTTAATTGCCTTGGCACAGCTGTTTAAAATCAGCTGACCACATATATGTGGATCTTTTTCTGAACTCTGTTATTCTATACCATTGCTCTCCTTACTTATCTTTACATCAGACACATTCTTGATTACTGTGGCTTTATAGAAAATCTTGAAGCGGGGCAGTGTAAGTCTCAAGTTAGTTTTCTTTTGAAAAGTTGTTTTGGCTATTCTGTGTTTTTCACGTTTCCATGTACATTTTAGAATTTAGCTTTTTAATTTCTAAAAAAAAAAAGGTCAGGCATGGTGGTTTGCACCTACAACTGCAACGTTTTGGGAGGCCAAGGCAGGTGGATTGCTTGAGCCTAGGAGTTCAAGACCAGGCTTGGCAACACACTGAGACCCTGTCTCCACAAAAAAAATTTTTAAGGCCGGGTGCGGTGGCTCACACCTATAATCCCAGCACTTTGGGAGGCCGAGGCAGGCAGATCACTTGAGGTCAGGTGCTCCAGACCAGCCTGGCCAACATGGCAAAACCCCATCTCTATTAAAAATACAAAAAATTAGCCAGGCATGGTGGCACACATTTGTAATCCCAGCTACTTGTGAGGCTGAGACAGGGGAATCACTTGAACCTGGAAGGCAGAGGTTGCAGTGAGCGGAGATCACGCAGTGCACTCCAGCCTGGGCGCCAGAGAAAGAATCCATCTCAAAAAAAAAAAAAAAAAAAAAAAATTAAGAAAGCTGTCAGCTGGTTATTCTCCAAAGCTGCAGCTTCTCTGCTCAAAGGGTCTTACTAGTTCAGAATACATTATCGTAAAACAAAAAATAAATACAAAAGAAATTTTTTAAACATTAGTCAAATGTGGTGACGTGTGTCTGTAGTCCCATCTATTCAGGAGGCTGAGGTGGGAGGATCGCTCGAGCCTCAGAGTTGGAGGCTGCAGTGAGCCATGGCCACATCACTGCGCCCCAGCCTGAGTGACAGAACAATACCCTGTCTCAAATAAAAAGTAAAAAGTCTATTGAGAGTTAGTTAAATCCATACATCAATTTGGAGAAAGTGGACATTTTAACAATACTGAGTTTTCTGATTCATTCATTTAAGTCTTTAATGCTTTGTAGCTTTCATTGTACAGATCTTAACATATCTGTTGTCAAATTATCTTTATATTTCGATTTTTGATGCTGCTGTAAATAGTATTTTCAGTTTTGTTTTCTAGTTGTTCATTGATGGTATATAGAAATACCATTGATTTTTGTACATTAATCATATATTTGCAACCTTGCTCACGTCACGTATTAGTTCTAGTATCTCTTTTGTGGACTATGTAGGATTTTCTATATAAATGACTGTGTCACCTATGAATAAAGACAATCTTGCTTCTCCTTTTCCAGTTTAAATACCTTTTATTTCTTTTTCTTAGTATAAGAATCTAAGCTTGTTTTCTTTTGAACTGCCTGATTTCAAGATTATACTGCCTGACTTCAAGATTTCCTATGAGCCACAGTGTGTGATGTAACAGTGTATCTGATGTAAAGATAGGTAAGGAGAGCAATGGTGCAGAATAATAGAGTTCAGAAAAAGATCCACATATATGTGGTCAGCTGATTTTGAACAGATGTGCCAAGACAATTAAATGGGGAAGGAAACTAGAATCTGTAGTACAATATTGAACAGAAGTGCTGAGAGGAATATACTAGGTATTGGGGAAACGTGGGAATTTTTTCACCATAGAGGATGTTTAAAATGAAAAGAATGATTATAATTGCTTCCTTCTCTCTTAACTTCCTTCCCTCAGACATCTACATCGGTGAATGAAATAGCAACAATAAAAATAAAACAAAGACTTGCAAATTTTAGTTCATGCTTTTATTTTTCAAATTTAAGCATAGATTATACATATTCGGCCGAAATATCCTGATTCCTTATGAACCTAAATGATTTTCATGATAATTATCTCTGAACCTTTGTTTCTTCATATGAAATAAAAGGTTTTTGTGTATGTTATATAAGATAATATATACTTGTTATATAAGAAGTACAGTGTACATTCATCTTCCTTCCTTCCTTCCCTCCCTCCCTCCTTCCTTCCTTCCTTCCCTCCCTCCCTCCTTCCTTCCTTCCTTCCTTCCCTCCCTCCCTCCCTCCTTCCTTCCTTCCTTTTTTGAGACTGTGTCACTGTGTCACCCAGGCTGGAGGGCAGTGGCGTGTTCTTGGCTCACTGCAGCCTCCATCTCCTGGGTTTGAGGAATTCTCTGCCTCAGCCTCCCGAGTAGCTGGGATACAGGCGTCCACTACCACACCTGGCTAATTTTTGTATTTTTAGTAGAGACGGGGTTTCACCATGTTGGCCAGGCTGGTCTTGAACTCCTGACCTCGTGATCCACCCGTCTGGGCCTCCCAAAGTGCTGGGAATACAGGTGTGAGCCACTGCGCCTGGCCTGTACATGTTCTTTCATTTTCTTCTGCTACAATCAAGACACGCTGTCCATTTTATGTAGCTAGCTCACTGTCAGCAAGTTTGCGAGTTCTTTATGTCAGACTAAGTCTACTTTTCTATAACTACAACTTATCAATAGGTTTTGTCCCCTTTCTATACACACAAACACAAAAACAAAACAAAAGAACTAGAGTAAGTTTAATTCCTATTTCATGTACCAGCCCTTCAGATGATTTAAAGATAGCCATTGTGACACTCCTAAATTTCTCTTCCAGGCTATTATGTTCCTTGGCCATTCAGGTTGTGCTCTGGATGTAATATAGGTTTTTAAGAATTGTCTAGTTGTTACAGTGAGTATGATTATTGAAATGTGATCTGCTTACCACAGAAGAAATATTTAGAATTGTGGCACTGTTTCAGTCCTGTGCTTTTATTATTGCAAACTAAGATTGCATTCACATTCTTGCAATCTGGCATTTTGCTGGAATTTGCTGAGTTGATAATTGATATTTGCCAGTTGCTGTTAAGCCAGGTATAGTTACATTTTAAACTTAAATGTGGGTTAACTCATTCCTCTTACAATAATCTTAATTCATTTTAGTTCATTGTTCTGCCTGTTAATTTTTTTGTTCGAATCTTTGTATTTTCTAATAAATGCATATTATGTATGTCATCTGGAAATTGATGAGTCTTAAAGTTTTGGTTACAGTACGTTTGCTTATATAATGTTTAACTGAATCAGAGCAAGTACAGAAATCTGGAGTATATGAGACAGACTTCCTTTTGACTAACAGTTGCCAGTAGTAGTCTTTTAGGCCTGCGCAATTGCTGCAAATCCCCATAACTAATATACAGTAGATATGGCTTTGCATTGTTGGCTAGGATGATATGAGAGACACTCAAATGTCTTGCCAAATTCTAGATATGCTTAATTTATGGAGTCCCCAAATAACTATGCTAATAACCTTATTGAGAAAAAAAAAATGAGGTTAATCTGGTGTGGCTTCTGAAAGCCTTGTTGGGGACCCTGGAACACTTGTTTTTCTTCTTCTGCAAGGACTCACAATTCCCTGCATAATAAACAGATTTAACTTTTGCTGGGGATCAACATCTAATTTGCTGATACAGCTTTTTAAAAATCTGTGCCTTTTAAAAATTTGAGACATCTCGTTTCTGGTATTTTGGTAACCCCAACCTATCTTACCAACTTCACAAAGATTATAGTAGTGTGCACTTACACCTCTGTGGAGAAGGAGCTGTTCAGACTCAGAATTAGTCAAAGTAATTCAAAGAACCTTAGTGCTGTCTCTATGTACTTACCTGTCTCAGATTTTAAACTTTTGTTATTATTTAGTCTTATGATTTATTTTAATACCACAGAATACATTTGACACACAGCAATCTTCTTGGGCCTCATAGTGAAGTAATAACGATCAGAGCTACAGCACAAATTACTTACGACTATATGACATTCACAATATACATCAAAACCCAGAACACATAAACCATGTGTATCAATAGCTGCTGGTTTTATTGGAACATTTTAACGATTGATCATTAACCATATATTTACATATAAATTTTCCTGGAGATTTTTTTATATTCAAAATTAGACCCTTAGTATAATGAATACATCGCCACACAGGATTGATTGTGCTCTGAAATTTTGATTTGGGTAATTTTAACATGAAATTGTATAAACAACTGATATTAAATCTTAAACTAATGTGTGAAATTATAAAATAGACCTAAGGGAGTTTTTTTGAATCATCCTTATCCTTATGTTTTCTTTTCTGAGGCATAGTTTTTTTTTTTTTTTTTTAAAGTCCTTATTTTTAGGACAATGGGATATAAACTGAAGTTAAGGCCAAATCTCTAAGTACAGGTGAAACAAAGATTTACAGATAATTTTGTTTTTATTTAGCAGAGCTGTCAGAAGATGACCTGTTGAGTCAGTATTCTCTTTCATTTACGAAGAAGACCAAGAAAAATAGCTCTGAAGGCAATAAATCATTGAGCTTTTCTGAAGTGTTTGTGCCTGACCTGGTAAATGGACCTACTAACAAAAAGAGTGTAAGCACTCCACCTAGGACGAGAAATAAATTTGCAACATTTTTACAAAGGAAAAATGAAGAAAGTGGTGCAGTTGTGGTTCCAGGGACCAGAAGCAGGTATAGTTATGTCTCCAGAATGTTGATTGTCTGTTGTATTATGTACTCTGTTGGTATTTATTTTGTCTTTTTTTAGAATTAATTTATTTATTATACTTTAAGTTCTGGGGTACATGTGCAGAACGTGCAGTTTTGTTACATGGGTATACATGTGCCATGGTGATTTGCTGCACCCATCAACCCGTCACCTCCATTAGGTATTTCTCCTAATGTTATCCCTCCCCTAGCCCCCTACCCTGCCACAGGCCGGGGTGTGTGATGTTCCCCTCCTTGTGTCCATGTACTCTCATTGTTCAACTCCCATTTATGAGCGAGAACATGTGGTGTTTGGTTTTCTGTTCGTGTATTAGTTTGCTGAGAATGATGGTTTCCAGCCTCATCCATGTCCCTGCAAAGGACATGAACTCATCGTTTTTTATGACTGCATAGTATTACATGGTGTATATGTGCCACATTTTCTATACCCAGCCTATCATTGATGGGCATTTGGGTTGGTTCCAAGTCTTTGCTATTGTGAATAGTGCTGCAATAAACATACGTATGCATGTGTCTTTATAGTAGAATGATTTATAATCCTTTGGGTATATACCCAGTAATGGGATTGCTGGGTCAAATGGTATTTCTGGTTCTAGATCCTTGAGGAGTCGCCACACTGTCTTCCACAATGGTTGAATTAATTCACACTCCCACCAACAGTGTAAAAGCATTCCTATTTCTCCACATCCTCTCCAGCATCTGTTGTTTCCTGACTTTTTAATGATTGCCATTCTAACTGACGTGAGATGGTAACTCATTGTGGGTTTTTTTTTTTATACTTTAAGTTCTAGGGTACATGTGTACAACGTGCAGGTTTGTCACATATGTATACATGTGCCATGTTGGTGTGCTGCACCCATTAACTCATCATTTAACATTAGGTATATCTCCTAATGCTATCCCTCCTCCCTCCCCCCAATTGTGGTTTTGATTTGCATTTCTCTAATGGCCAGTGATGATGAGCCTTGAATAAACATTGAGTCTAGAGGGAAGCAGGTGTAGAACCTGCCTTAATCTGATTACTGTCTTATCATGTATTGTCTTAGTTCTGACATAAACCCCTTTAACTTCTAGTACTTTCGTAATCTCTCCGTACAGAATCAGAATAAAAGAGGATTGTAGCCCCTATTATTAATTTTGCTTTACAGAAATTGTTTTTTTGGGGAGTTCCCTTCCCCCTCTTTTTTTTCTACTTTTTTGTTTTCTTTGAGGGCTTCATACAATTTTGCAAAGTATTTTCAGAAATATATTCTAATGTAGATGACTGTGGAGCTGTAATATTAATTGAGAACCTGATGCCATGCTAGGTGCTATAGTTCAAAAATGAGAAAGACAGTTTTTGTTTTTCAGAAGCTTGTAGTCCAGTTGGAAAAATAAATACATAAAAATCTTTCCATACAGTATGGTGAGTACAGAGATAAAGGCATGAATACGGTGTTTTGAGGGCGTTCAAGGGGCATCTAATGCTGGGGCAATGGTTGGAAAGGGTAAGAAGGAAGGGATGAGTGTTGGGTGTCCCTGCCTAGGTTTAAATGACAGGTGAAGCAGGCAAAGACCGGCACCAAGTACCTTCCCAGTACAGTCAGACAGCTTGAGGAAAGGTGTAAAGATGGGGGGCAGCATGGGGCTCAGGACAACTCCTTGCTGTCTGTCAGTGCTGTGATGACCTCTGTCAGAATTCAAGCTGGGGAAAGATGGGTGGTGAGGGGAGCAGAAATAGGCAGGAGACCATTCACTGAAGGCTTGTATGCCAACGTGGGAACTTTTAGTCTTCTTTAGAGGCGATAGAAACATTGAGAGGGTCGCCGGGCACGATGGCTCATGCCTATAATCCCAGCACTTTGGGAGGCCAAGTGGGTGGATCACCTGAGGTCAGGAGTTTGAGACTAGCCTGGATGAAATGGGGAAACCCCGTCCTTCCTAAAAGTACAAAACCTAGCTGGACATGGTGGTGTGCACCTGTAGTCCCAGCTACTTGGGAGGCTGAGACACGAGAATTGCTTGAACCCGGGAGGAGGTTGCAGTGAACCATCATGCCACTGCAGTCCAGCCAGGGTGAGACAGTGCAAGACTCCGCCTCCAGGAAAAATAGAAAAGAAAAGAAACTTTGAGAGGGTTTTAATCAGGGGAGGTGGTGTATGATTTGATCTCTGTTTTAGATCAACCATTCTGAGCGCCCTGTGAAGAGTGGGCTGAAGAGGGCCACAGATGGGGCACAAGGACCAGTTGGGCTGTTGCCATAGTCCCTGGGAGCAATCATGAGATTGTGAAGAGTCAGTTTAATTTGTGGATTAGGAATTTAGAACCTGGAGTCAGGCTTCCTGGAATCTTGTTGTGTTCATTGTGAGATGTGTGACTTGACAAGTTAACTTCTGGATACTTCAGTTCTCTCCTTTTAAAAATTGGGACTAACAATTATAACAGCCTTAGGGCCGATGAAAGGATTAAATGAGTTACTATCAGTAATGCACCTAAAGCAGTGCCTTATAGATAGATGATAAACATACAGTAAGTAACTCGTATTATGTTGACTTTAGATGGTGGTGCCACAACATGAAAAAGGAAATGTAAGTGTCAGAAGTGATCTAGGCATGATAGAGTAACACTAAGAGAGAAAAGTTACCAGCTCCTGTATTCCACTAGAAGACTTCGAATGAATAGTCTTTGTTTTTCAAGTTTTTTATTTTTTTATTTTTATTTTTACTTGAGACAGAATTCCACTCTTGTTGCCCAGGCTGGAGTACAGTGGCGCCATCTCGGCTCACTGCCACCTCCGCCTCCCGGGTTCAAGTGATTCTCCTGCCTCAGCCTCCCGAGTAGCTGGGACTACAGGCACCCGCCACCATGCCCAGCTAATTTTTATGTTTTTAGAAGAAATGGGGTTTCACCATTTTGGCCAGGCTGGTGTCGAACTCCTGACCTCAAGTGGTCCATACACCTTGTCCTCCCAAAGTGCTGGGATTACAGGCGTGAGTCACCACACTCTGCCCTGTTTTTCAAGTTTAATAAATCAGGCAGCAGTCAGCTTTGTCTAACCATGATGATGGGAGAAGAGCATGAAAGAATGAACCACTGGTAGTTTCTTAGTCTCACCTCGGGTGATGTTTCAAACCCTTCTCCCATGGAGTCTTCTCAAGGAAACAGTTGCAATACAATATGATTAAATGATAGTTTTGATTCGTCTTTTGCTAGTCACCCTTGTTAAAGGTGCTTGTTAACAGTGGAATGATGAAAAATTGGCCACAAAACTGGAACAGTGTTCTAGATAATATACACTGATTGGGCCGGCCGTGGTGGTTCATGCCTTTAATCCCAGCACTTTGGGAGGCCAAGGCGGTCGGATCATGAGGTCAGGAGATCGAGACCATCCTGGCTAACATGGTGAAACCCCATCTCTACTAAAAGTACAAAAAATTAGCCGGGCGTGGTGGCGGGCGCTAGTAGTCCCAGCTGTTTGGGAGGCTGAGGCAGGAGAATCGCTTGAACCCGGGAGGCGGAGGTTGCAGTGAGCCAAGATCACGCCACTGCACTCCAGCCTGGGTGACAAAGCGAGACTTCGTCTCAAAAAAAGAAAAAAATACACTGATTAAAAAGTTCTAGAAAGTTGACTTCTCTCACTTGGAACAGTTTTTCTAGCTTGGTTTTGTTTTTCCGCTGGGGTGAGAGTAGAGTGTCCCTGTGCTGCTGCTTCATGTTGAGCTCTTCTTTGGAGACAACAAATGAGAATGTTTGTGTGTCTCTACAGGGCTCGCCTATTTAGTCATTATAGAAGCTTAAGGAAGTCTTCAAGTTTGAGACTGTACATCGCTGCTTTATGTAGTTTAGATGTTTCACTAGTAACTTGTTCAGAGGGTGCATTAAGAGATACCTAGAGAAATAATTTGTTTTCTCTGTCAGCTTTCTGTGAGAAATAATTATCAGGAGTAAGTCAGTCTTTGATGTGTCATTTTATGGCTTACATTATACAGCAACATCTGATAATGACTAGACAGGGTATAGGCTCACACCTATAATCTCAGCACTCTGGGAGGCCGAGGAGGGTGGATCACCTGAGGTCAGGAGTTTGAGACCAGCCTGGCCAACATAGTGAAACCCCGTCTCTACTAAGTATTCAAAAATTAGCTGGGCGTAGTGGCAGATGCCTGTAATCCCAGCTTCTCGGGGGGCCGAGGGAGGAGAATAGCTTGAACCCAGGAGGAGGAGGTTGCAGAGAGTTGAGATCGCACCCCTGCACTCCAGCCTGGGTGACAGAGCGAGACTCCATCTCAAAAAAAATTTCTTTTTAAATTAACTGGATATTATTAAATTAGTTTTCAAAGTTAATTTTCAAGGTAATTTTACATGTTTTTCTATTTCTCACAACAATATTATGAGATACATAGGATTGCTGCTATCTTCTCTATTTGAGGTTAAGAGATTGAGGCTCTGAGAGGTTAAGCATTCTCAAAGTTGTACAGTTAGTACTGGTGATAGGAAGATTCCTAGTCACAGTTGATATAATGGATTGGAAGCGGCATACAATCCAATAGGCCTGGATTTGAATTCTCACTCTGTCATCTTTTTAGTTGAGTCGTCTTTCACACACTGTTCACCTCCCTGAGCCTATTTGTTTATAAAAAATGGATGATTATATACATAAGGCTGTTGTGAAGGTAAATAGAAACTGCGTGTCAAGCACCTGCCATAATGCCTAGTCATTAATATATGTGCAAGCATTCATTACCACTCCTCTCCTTTTAATTGAATGCAACTAAAAGGAGATACTAAACATGTAAAACGTTGTCACCAATTTGCCTGCATTTTGGAAGCCTGTTTTAAGTCTTAATTATTTTTATTATGTAGGTAGTTATCACAGAAACGTGCCAGTTTTATCTTTCGAGATCTGGAAATACAAGTCAATTAAGTAACAGTATGGGCCAGTTGGGAGGAAGTAGCCATGAACTGGGAAGGGTTCTGAGTTTTACTTCTGTTTGTTGCTAGCCAAGTAATTTTATAACCCTGGGCATTGTCACTATCTCTTCTCTTGCCTGTGAAATGATATGTAGGAGAATACTTGGGCATCATAGGAATTGCCGTTGATTTAAAAATGAATTTGCCGTCCTATCTAGGAGCTCATGTTTTCTGCTTACTGAAAAGCCTAGTAAGAGCTTTTCTTCCACGTACTGCTTCCTGCCCCCTCCCCATACAACTAATCTAGGGATTTGGTGAAAGGATAGAAAGGATTTTTACTCTCTAGCATTTAGTAAATATTCTGTTCATTATCTTGGATTTGAACTAATGCCTATTAAGGAGGTAAATTCTCTTTAAGTTTTTTATTTATCTGATCATGTATAATAGGATATTTGTTAAACCTAAAAACTCTCTTTGCCTCCTCAATAATGATACTGATCTTTCATTTTCATTGGAATTTTTTTTTAAAGCTGCTATACTGAATAAGTAATACCTCTTTAGTAATATGGAATTTATGATTGATTTGAAAGAAAGTCTTAACCTGTATATTTAAAAGAGTATAGAAGTTTATAGGGTATATAACAAGCTGGTAGATTAGTATACTACTGCAAGTTCCTAGATGATATAATGCTAGGAACAAAGCTAAGATGAAGGGTAAATAGCTAATTTCTTTAATTTTGCTTCCTACAAAATATGAGAGAATAGTTGTCAATTGTCCTTTTGGTTGCATATTTCTATATCTTTTCATGCGTTTGACCATGTTTTAGCCCCATCCTAGGTACTGTGGAAGATACAAAGACATGGGAAGTACCTGCCCTCACAGAGTTTATCTTCTATTTGAGAGTTTAAAAGTTTAGGGAAAGAACACCTATATGATGATTAGGTATAAATAAAGTACAGAAGTTCCAAATACATGTGTATATAGAAGACTGCTTTTAGAAAGTCCTCTCTAGGCCGGGCGCTGTGGCTCACGCCTGTAATCCCAACACTTTGTGAGGCCAAGGCGGGCGGATCACCTGAGATCAGGAGTTTGAGACCAGCCTGACCAACATGGAGAAACCCCGTCTCTACTAAAAATACAAAATTAGCCAGCATGGTGGCGCATGCCTGTAATCCCACCTACTCAGGAGGCTGAGGCAGGAGAATTGCTTGAACCCGGGGGGCGGAGGTTGCAGTGAGCCAAGATCCCGCCACTGCACTCCAGCCTGGTGACAGAGAGAGACTCTGTCTCAAAAAAAAAAAAAAGAAGGAAAATCCTGTCTAAAAATTCATCGTATAAATAGAATTCTAAATGTGTGAATGTTGGCATAATCAAAATTTGAATTTTGACTAAAATTTAAGATTTTTTATGCCTTTATGAAATTATATATTTATGAGACTTTTTTCAAAAAGAAACTGATTATTCCATTTTGAATCTTGACACCCCTTGAGAAAACTCTAAAATACTCATACTTACTTATTGTTTCTATTGCTTTTTTTATTAGGTTTTTTTGCAGTTCAGATTCTACTGACTGTGTATCAAACAAAGTGAGCATCCAGCCTCTGGATGAAACTGCTGTCACAGATAAAGAGAACAATCTGCATGAATCAGAGTATGGAGACCAAGAAGGCAAGAGACTGGTTGACACAGATGTAGCACGTAATTCAAGTGATGACATTCCGAATAATCATATTCCAGGTGATCATATTCCAGACAAGGCAACAGTGTTTACAGATGAAGAGTCCTACTCTTTTGAGAGCAGCAAATTTACAAGGACCATTTCACCACCCACTTTGGGAACACTAAGAAGTTGTTTTAGTTGGTCTGGAGGTCTTGGAGATTTTTCAAGAACGCCGAGCCCCTCTCCAAGCACAGCATTGCAGCAGTTCCGAAGAAAGAGCGATTCCCCCACCTCTTTGCCTGAGAATAATATGTCTGATGTGTCGCAGTTAAAGAGCGAGGAGTCCAGTGACGATGAGTCTCATCCCTTACGAGAAGAGGCATGTTCTTCACAGTCCCAGGAAAGTGGAGAATTCTCACTGCAGAGTTCAAATGCATCAAAGCTTTCTCAGTGCTCTAGTAAGGACTCTGATTCAGAGGTAAGTCAAATCCTGAAGGCTTTGTTTTCAAATTTATATGTAAGAAAAAATAGATTGTTGCTCAAACTGAGGAAATTTTTCCTACATGTGAATGACGAGCTATATTATTTTTTCATTCTAAACTCTACTGTGCAGAAAGTTCACATTTTATTCATTTGAAGGACTTCTCTGTATCTTTCACATTTTAAACTGCAATACATTTAAATTAACTCTGTATATTTCCTGAATCACTGTATGTTCGATTGGTGAGTATCTCAAGGGGTGCCACAGTTAAAACCGAGGCAGAGTGATAATCTGTGAAATGAAAAATTATTATCAATTTACTGTTTAAATCCTTAATATGCTCTTGAATTCAGATAACATTTAAGACCTTGTAAGGGGCCAGGTGCGATGGCTCATGCCTGTAATCCCAGCACTTTGGGAGGCCGAGGCGAGCGGATCACTTGAGGTCAGGAGTTTGAGACCAGCCTGGCCAGCATGGTGAAACCCTGTCTCTCCTAAAAATACAAAAATCTTAGGCAGGCATGGTGGTGGGCACCTGTGATCCCAGCTATTCGGGAGGCTGAGGCAGGGTAATTATTTGAACCTGGGAGGCGGAGGTTGCAGTGAGCCGAGATTGAGCCACTGTACTCCAGCCTGGGGGACAGAGCAAGACTGTCTCAAAAAAAAAAAAAGAAAAAAAAAGAGACCTTATAAGGAAATAACCCTGTTAATGCAATGGTATTCATCTTAAGTTTTAGTACTTCAGAAATATATTTTCATTTACTCTTCTTATTCCTTCTAAATTTCTCCTTATGACAAAACAAAACAGTAACACAGGTGTGCATACTGGTCTAGAAGACTGTCTGTTTCTCTTCCTATGAACGTCTTTATCTCGTCTTTTTCATTTCTGCTTCATACTGCATCTTCTCTTACTGCCACTTGGGTACCACGGCAGTGGCTATCTTGAACATCTTTCATAAAAACATCACTGTCAATTTGTGAGGATATTAAGTCTGCTGAGCTCCTTTGGGGTTATCTTTTTTATATTTCCAGCATGCATCTTACTATTTCATTTACTTTGGAAGCGTTTAGCCATGTTTTCCTGAGAAGCCTTATCAGTTCACACTGTAGGCTGGTAGAACTCCACATTTTGTCTTCTGGGCTAACCTTTTTTTATGTACTAATGGTTATAGAAATGTGAATCCTCCTCCCCTAGCCATGCCCCACTGAAAATAAACGAACTGAACAAAACTAGGAATAATTCATTAAGTCCTCTCTCTTGCTGCCAGATGTAGTAAACTCCTACTAGAATAGTTAATTCTCAAAGAATCTGATGCTGACAGTTGACATGAAAATCATATAATCTTTCTTTGATGGAGAAAATGTTTCAGAAAGCTGTGAAACATTGGGGCATCATTTTGAATATCAGTTTTTATCCTATAGTTCAGAAGAAAATGCTTCAATATTTGAGCCTTCTGTCGGTAGTTCACTGTGAAAAACAACAACCATAGATTCTGTGTTGAGTTCATTGACCATATTTGAGGTTGAAGTCTTCTTAGGACCTTCCTTGTGATCTTCAGGAAGTGATTTAGCCCAGAGTCACCAATACTGTTAGCTATGAGCAAAGAATGTTAGAGTTTCTGTAAGGTATAATACAAGTTAATGGAGTGCTTTTCACTATTGGGTTTTTTATTGCTCTTTTGTTTTGTTTTGTTTTTTTGTTTTTTAAGTCTGCTCTGTTGCCTAGGCTGGATTGCAGTGGTACAATCTCGGCTCACTGCAACCTCCACCTCCCGGGTTCAAGCGATTCTCCCACCTCAGCCTCCCAAGTAGCTGGGACAACAGGCATGTGCCACCATGCCCGGCTAATTTTTGTATTTTTAGTAGAGACAGGATTTCACCATGTTGGCCAGGCTGGTCTTGAACTCCTGACCTCAAGTGATCTACCCACCCACCTTGGCCTCCCAAAGTGCTGGGATTACAGGCATGAGCCACCGCCCCTGGCCTTACTGTCCTCTTTTATTTGACTTTCATGGGAATGCAGATTATAAGGGAACTCTCCATCTATAGAGAAGTCTTATCTGATAGAATTGGGGGCAGAAAGGTCTGAAAGTCATTGCTAAAGGTGAAGTGCATTTAATACAATGCTACTCCACTTGAAAGTGGATGCGTTTTTTTCTTTTTAAAGTTGAACGTGTTACATGATTAAAAGAAGGGATGGAGCTGCACCAGTTCAACTTATTTTAGCTAGTAAGATGAAAACTTAACCACACGTGCGTAACGCAGCGTTTTTACATTAGGAGACTCTTGTTTTATCTGACTCAGCATTTTAACATCCTCTTCTAACAGTTCAGAAAAGACTTTAATTTTAAATAGATATTTTATATAATTTACCTCTCCAGCTGAAACATCTTGTTAGCTTCTTCAATGAAATTGGCAAATATCATCCTTTCCATATTATTCATTTTCTTTTATTAATTCTATCCCATGTTCTTATTTATCTTCCATTTTGTTGAATATTAGTTTGTTGTCATAAAAATTCTACAGTAAAAATCTAATTTTATTTTATTTTTTGATCTGGGGACTCTAGGAATCTGATTGCAATATTAAGTTACTTGACAGTCAAAGTGACCAGACCTCCAAGCTACGTTTATCTCATTTCTCAAAAAAAGACACACCTCTAAGGAACAAGGTAAAACATTTATTTAATTTTTTTTTTAATTTCAGAAGCGGTGTATGCTTACAACTAGAAAATGAGAAATACAAGCAGAATTAAAAATCAAAATACCTGTAGTCTCATTTATATAAAAATGTCTACTTTAAAACTTTATGCTTGACTGTAGGTGTTTAAGTTGTGAAACTTATTTTCTCTTGCAGTGTATATGAAAGATCACTTTCCAAGTACTTTTAGTCATTAATGTAATGACTTTATAATATGCAGTTGTATAGGTTTGGTCAATCCCCTTATTTTTGTCATTTACCCTAAATTTTTTTGCTCTAGCAAATAATACTGCAACCAAGATCTTGTGGATAAATATTTGAGGACATGTTCTTGATTAGTTTGTAAGGATGAATTGCATGGAGTGGTATTACTGGTCCCAAGGCATGTATGATTTAACATTGATACATACTGCCAAAAGGCCTTCTAGAAACTGTGTACCCATGATAAACTAGGTTTGTTGAATCAAAATATATAAATATTTGTGTTACTACATAGTAAAGCATATTTTATATATTAAGCACGAATTAAAGCATATTTTATATATTAAATGTTCTTGTTCATCAGTATAAAAACACCATTTCCTAACTTAAAAGATGGATAAAGGTCATAAACAGGTCACAAAAGGAAAAGTACCAATGGTTGATTAATATGTGTTTAACCTCATTTGTTTAACCGTATGTTTAACCTCATTAGTAATCAAGTAGTGCAAATTAAAATAATAAAATAGTTTCTTGCCTCTTCATATTTCAAAAAAATGTTTTTAATTATACTCATTTTTTATGAGAGTATAGTGAGATAATCACATGTTTTAAAAAGTAAGTATTGGTCTGCCATTTCTAGAAAAAAATTTGAAAGAGTTCAAATAATTTAAACCAGTAAGTGCATTCTAGAACTTTAGCCTAAGGAAACATTGAGAATTTAAATACAAGAATACTTAATACTGCATTGGTTATAATAGTGAAAAATTGGAAATAACCTAAATAACAATAAGGGAGTGAGTTATTAAATAATCATTGGTTTTAGCTCTTACTGGTAGAAATATAGGTGAATTTTTTTCTGTTCTTTTTCTTGTGTTTTTCTACCATGAGCATATATTATGTTTCTAGTAGCATAAAAACTTCTTACTTTTTAAAATTTTAATAAATGGCCCTGGCTATCCATTTGAAAGAAGATGTAGTCTCACACAATATAAATGTAAATTCTACTGTAGTCAATATGGGTTGCTATAACAGAATACCAGAAACTGGATTTGCTTAAATGATAAATATTTATTTCTCACAGTTCTAGAGGCTGGGAAGTCCAAGGTCTGAGTGAGAGCCCACTTCCTGGTTTGCAGACAGATGCCTTCTCGCTGTGTCCTTACATGGTAGAGGGAGAGAATATCTCTTTTGTACCTCTTCTTAAGGGCACTAATCTCATTCATGAGGGCTCTACTCTCATGATCTAATCACCTCTCAAAAATCCCACCATCACATTAGGAGTTAAGGGGTTAGGACTTCAATATGAATGTGAGGGAGACACAACATTCAGTCCACAGCAAATTCCAGTACATTAAAGATACAAATATGAAATATGTAAATATGAGATTATTTTTTAAATTTTTGAGCAAGAAGTTTTTTGCAATCATATCTACTAACTTGAAAAGACATTCATTATTAGTGAAAAGGAAAAATATGTTATTAACAATATGTATAGTGTTTTTGTTTAAATACTTTAAAATATTCATGTACACATTTGCATGTTTGTGGCATCCTATTAAGAAGTCTGGAAAGATACATGCAGAATTATTTACAATGATGGATAGAACTGGAGATGTAGAAAGTACTTTTCCTGAAGGAGTTATGTCTAGATAGTAAACCATCATATTATTATTATTATTCTCAGACATTTGCATTGTCAGGGATTTAACTACCACTTCTGTTTTGGTGACCCTTCAGGTGAGCTCTCCCTGATACCCATCTTTAATACCTAAAATCAAACTCGTGTCTTTTACCTCTATTTCTTCTCGGAACGTTTTTTGTTTTATCTATTAAATAAAATTATATTATCTGCCACTTAGTTTCAAAATCCTAAGGTTGTCCTTTTTCTTGATAACTGTCAGTTTGATCCTTCTACAGCAGTTAGAGAAAAACAACCAAACATCGATACCTCTCCAAATTCTAACGTTTATTTCTTTGCCTTCTTTTTTCTCCCTCACTTTTTCCCCATCACAACACATATTTAAGGATTTCATCTTTACTGTGTGAACCTTTATTTTGTTTTAACTTTTTCATTCTTCCTACACACACTGCCAGATTCATATTGTAAACCTTTTTTAATATACCTCATTCTTACTATCTTAAGAAACAATAACAAAACTTCATTGTCTCCATTCTGTCCACAGGGTAAAAATCAACCCTTAGTAGAAACAGCCTAAATGTCAATAGAGGTTTGTTTAAGTAAGTTATGGCATATATATACAATGCAAGAACAGGCAACCTATTCAAAATAAAATTCTATTTCCTGTGAACTGAAAAAAATCTCTAAGTTACATCATTAAGAGGAATCAAGATATATTAAGTGAGAAAAATGAAGTGCACAACAATGTGTACTATGCTGCCTGTGTGTGTGTGTGTGTGTGTGTGTGTGTGCACGTGCACGTAAGTCAGTGGATGCATAGGAAGCTGGGAGCAGCAATTGCCTCTGGAAAGGGAGGCAGCGAGAGACATTCATTTTGCTCTCTGTTCCTTTACAAAAGAGAGAACTTTTAAATTTTATGCCAGGTTTACATATTACCTGTTAAAATAATTTATGATGACTTCTGTAATAGACTTTTATAAATAGCACATTTTTACCATTGCTCATGGGTTATTTTGTTCTTATGTATAAAGAATAGTTTGGCCGTGTGTGGTGGCTCATGCCTGTAATCCCAGCGCTTTGGGAGGCTGAGGCGAGCAGATCACAAGGTCAGGAGATCGAGACCATCCTGGCTAAAACGGTGAAACGCCGTCTCTACTAAAAATATAAAAAATTAGCGAGGCGTGGTGGCGGGTGCCTGTAGTCCCAGCTACTCGGGAGGCTGAGGCAGGAGAATGGCGTCAACCCGGGAGGTGGAGCTTGCAGTGAGCCGAGATCGCACCACTGCACTCCAGACTGGGCGACAGAGTGAGAGTCCATCTCAAAAAGTAAATAAATAAATAAATAAATAAGTAAAGAATAAAGAATAGCTTGAAATTAAAGTTAGTTGCTTTAACAGAATGGTCTTAAAATGGGTGTTTAATCTTCAGGTTCCTGGGCTATATAAGTCCAGTTCTGCAGACTCTCTTTCTACAACCAAGATCAAACCTCTAGGACCTGCCAGAGCCAGTGGGCTGAGCAAGAAGCCGGCAAGCATCCAGAAGAGAAAGCATCATAATGCCGAGAACAAGCCGGGGTTACAGATCAAACTCAATGAGCTCTGGAAAAACTTTGGATTTAAAAAGTGAGTTGCCTTGTTTCTTATTCTGAAACAAGATAAACTGTTATTTTCTGTAATTTCCATCCCTTTCTCCCAACTCTTCCTAGTTTCGTATGAGTTTTTGTTTCTCTCACTATAAAATAATTATTTTTCTCTCTTCCCTTTAGCTAACTCTTTATACTTAATATCAATTTCTATACCTTCTTTTCATAAAAAGATGGCAAACTAAAAACCAGTTTTCAGTCTGGTTTTGGAGTCTCTCTGATGTGAAGCAAATTGCTTTCCTAGGCCTTAAGTCTCCTGCCTTCCTTTTCTTATCTCTCAGGATTGTAAAGAGAATAAAATTTTATTTGGTTTTTTGTTTTTTGTTTTTTGTTTTTTGTTTTTTTGAGAGAGTTTTGCTCTTGTTACCCAGGCTGGAATGCAATGGTGCGATCTCCACTCACCGCAACCTCCGCCACCTGGGCTCAAGCAATTCTTCTGCCTCAGCCTCCCGAGTAGCTGGGATTACAGGCATGCACCACCACGCCTGGCTAATTTTGTATCTTTAATAGACACGAGGTTTCTCCATGTTGGTCAGGCTAGTCTCGAACTCCCAACCTCAGGTGATCCACCCGCCACGGCCTCCCAAGTGCTGGGATTACAGGCGTAAGCCACCACGCCCAGACAAGAATAAAATTTTAAAGAAGGGGTAGAAACACAGTGCAATATCGTACTTCTCTAATTTATCACATCTAAAATGGGGAGACTCATTGAGTTTATATGATGAATTTGCCAGATTTGCAGTGTATGTGGCCAGCACTGTTTTAAAAGAATTCATCTTCTATATAGTTAAATTTTTGTTAACCATAATACTTCCTTCTGTTAGACCACAAAATTAGCCACAGAGTAGCATTACCTTATAGCTATTTTCTTGTTCTCAATAAAAGAAATGTGCTGTTTAATAAAAGTTTTTTTTAATTATATGGAATGATAGGATTAAACCTTACCTAGTAGAAATATTGTCATAGATGAGGCGGTATGAGTGGGAAACACTTTGTAAATAAGTAAGTGCTGGACAATCGTTTCTTATTTTACATTGTGTAAAGTCTAGGATTAAACCATATGACAGCAGTTTTCAAACTTTTTCTTTTCAGGAATGCTTTATACTCTTAGAAATTATTAAAGGCCCCAAAATACTTTGGTTTATTTAGGTTATATTTGTCAACACTTAACCATCATAGAAATTGAAATAGACATTTTAAAATATCTATTTTAAAATAATGATAAGCCTATTACATGAATGTAGATAGTACATTTAAAAAATAAATAGCTATATTTTCCAAATCCCCCCAAAAGGTAAGAAAAGTGGCATGGCTTTACATTTCATTTTGCAAATCTTTACTATCTAGTTTGCAAATCTTTACTGTCTGGCTTAATAGAGCTCAGCCGGATTCTTGTATCTGCTTCTACATTTGATCTGTTATGATTTGGTGTTTTGGTTGAGTATATGAAGGAAATAGACATATTTGTAGTTAGAAAATATATACTTTGATAGCCTTTTTAGATAGTGGTAAATTTTCTTCTTTGCTGTTATGTCTAAATCCAACAACTTGTAGTTTCTTTAGGTCAGTGATAGTGTAGAATATGAAACCATATCAACTGACTTTTTGTACTCTGTGTTTTATTGCAGTCCACTGGTGTCCCTTTTTTCTGTTGCCTAGGCTGGAATGGCACAATCATGGCTCACTGTACCCTCGAGCTCCTGAGCTCAGGCAGTCCTCCTGCCTCAGCCTCTTGAGTAGCTGGGACTACAGGCTTGTGCCACCAGCCCCAGTTAATTATTTAAGTTGTTATGTGAGGTGTGAGCCACCTTGCCTGGCCTACACTGGTGCACTTTTAATGCATCTTTTACATGTAACATCATGAGTTGGTCTTTTGGAAAATATTGGTTAATTGAGATGTACTTCCAAATATTGATATATTTTATTATACAATATAAGAAAAAAGTCACAATCAACAAAGCCTTTAATATTGGAAAACTGTTGTGTGGCAGATACGTTTTCCAAAATTTTAATTTTCATTTGAAAGCTTGAATTTTATCATTAGCAACAAATACTCTTAGTTGTTTTTCTTTAAAGTAACAGGCTCTCTTTGCTCATTTTATTTGTTTGTTTATTTATTTATTTATTTTGAGACAGAGTCTCTCTTTGTCACCCAGGCTGGAGTGCAGTGGCACAATCTCAGCTCACTGCAGCCTCCGCCTCCTGGGTTCAAGTGATTCACCTGTCTCAGCCTCCTAAGTAGGTGGGATTACAGGCGCCTGCCACCATGCCTTACTAATTTTTATATTTTTTGTAGAGATCGGGTTTCGCTGTGTTGGCCAGGCTGGTTTTGAACTCCTGACCTCAAGTGATCCACCTGCTTCAACCTCCCAAAGTGCTGGGATTACAGACATGAGCCACCACGCCTGGCCCCTTTTTGTTCCAAATTTTAGAGAAGTCCTGAATGACCTTAGTGTCACACATGCTTTTACTTGAGGTAAACTATCATACTTCCATACACAATAGAAGTGTTTTGTTTGTGCTTTCCATTTTGTCACAGAATATTAAAAAGTATACCAAAGAATTAGCTGAGCGTGGTGGCATGTGGCCGTAGTCCCAGCTTCTCAGGAGGCTGAAGTGGCAGAATTGCTTGAGCCCGGGAGGTGGCGGTTGCAGTGAACTGAGATTGCGGCACTGCACTCCAGCCAGAGTGCAACAGAACGAGACCTTGTCTCAAAAAAATTTAAAAAAAAATGTAAAGTATACCAAAGGGTTGAGATTTAATAAAATTAATGATTTGTACTGCTTCCATCAAGAACATTTTTGAGACTTTTTTTTAACTGCAAGTGCGCAGAGGTGGAGAATACAAATAGTCCTGGTATGACTCGTACGGTGTGATGCCACTGTCTTGATTCACACTGAGTTGTCAGCAGTTTCACTCTGTTCTGCTTTAGCAACATCCATGCAAGGGTCAGCACAGTGGAAAGGATGAACAAAGTCTGAATATTGTAAGAATAGTTTTGGTCTTGGAAACCGTTCAAAGGATCTTGGGACTCTCCAGGGGTTGTGGAACATGCTTTGAAAACTGTTGCTAGACAGAAATTAAGGGTGCAACAGTATTCTTAAATACCTTTGAGAAAAAAAGATGTACTGGTATTTAATTTTTGTTGACAGGAGATAGAATTACCTGTAATATCTTCATAACAGGATTAATTTTTATAGATAGCTTCCTTCCAGAAAAGAAAAAAGAGAAAACAACCGAGAGGGGAATAAAAGACAGGGCTTAGGCCAGGCACAGTGGCTCACGCCTGTAATCCCAGCACTTTGGGAGGCTGAGGCAGGCAGATCACTTGAGGTCAGGAGTTTGAGACCAGCCTGGCCAGCATGGTGAAACCCCATCTGTAGTAAAAATACAAAAATTAGCCAGGTGTGGTGGTGCACGCCTGTAGTTCCAGCTACTCGGGCTGAGGCAAGATAATCGCTTGAACCCAGGAGGTGGAGGTTGCAGTGAGCCAAGATCGTGCCACTGCACTCCAGCCTGGGTGACAGAGCGAGACCATCTCAAAAAAGAAAAAAAATAATAATAAGATTTAACCAGGGCTTAACCATTTGTTCCTGCTTCACTTATATTAGTTCTTAACCAGACTTGAGAAGGGCACTAAGGAGAAAAGAATTAAAGTATTGGAATCATTCTGCCTTAGCTAATATATCTAGTGGTGGCCCAGCACCTACACTGAATAGTGATTTTGAAAGCAAGAAGAGGCACTAAGAAGTGAGACTCAGAATGTATTGGGAGTGCTCACAGGAGAACCTGATTGTGTTATATAATGAATTGAAAGAGATCGTACAGTAAAGGGTCTTATCCTCTTCATGTCCCTCTATTTTGTCCAGGTAGAATATTTCTTCTCTAATAATCAGTACCTTAAAAATACCAAATGTATTTTATTGTATTTTGCAGAGATTCTGAAAAGCTTCCTCCTTGTAAGAAACCCCTGTCCCCAGTCAGAGATAACATCCAACTAACTCCAGAAGCGGAAGAGGATATATTTAACAAACCTGAATGTGGCCGTGTTCAAAGAGCAATATTCCAGTAAATGCAGACTGCTGCAAAGCTTTTGCCTGCAAGAGAATCTGATCAATTTGAAGTCCCTGTTTGGGAATGAGGCACTTATCAGCATGAAGAATTTTTTCTCATTCTGTGCCATTTTAAAAATAGAATACATTTTGTATATTAACTTTATAATTGGGTTGTGGTTTTTTTGCTCAGCTTTTTATATTTTTATAAGAAGCTAAATAGAAGAATAATTGTATCTCTGACAGGTTTTTGGAGGTTTTAGTGTTAATTGGGAAAATCCTCTGGAGTTTATAAAAGTCTACTCTAAATATTTCTGTAATGTTGTCAAGTAGAAAGATAGTAAATGGAGAAACTACAATCCTAGAGGAAATCACTGTGTTTCTCCAGGCTTTAAAGTTTTCCACTTGCCTTTCCCATCTGTCCTTCAGGGTTGAATTGAAAATAAAGTTGTTGAGATGGGAGGGGTAATTGGAAGGGTTAAAGATCATTACACAAATGAGACAGTGCTCTCTTATCCCTGAAGGGTTTGGTTGGATTATAGGTTGACACTGAAGGAAAATTTTCAGCCTCATATGAAAGGAAATACTTCTTATATCATTAATATTTTTAAACTTCAAAATAGCCTCAGTTTTAATATATATATTTTGAAGTATAGGCTAAAGCTTTCTTAACATGTATTTAAAACTAGTCCCCTAAACACTACATAAGATACTAAAGCTGCAAGGTCTGTGACACGTACACTCTGCAAATAAATGGGCAGATACCTGGAAAGAGAACCAGCTGCACAAGTGAGGATCTGAAGTGACAGGAATTAAAGGAATTATAAAAGTATTTGTGATATAGAGGATAAAGGAAAGAGAGCCAAAGTATTTATATTTTTGAGTGAGACTTGGTAGAGGACTCTAGGAAAATGAGATCAGAATGGAATAAAAGCTAACTAAAGCTATTACAAAATTAAAACCCAAAAAGGCCCAATCTGGAAAAGACCTAATCCAAAGAACAAAAGCAGATTTGAATTCTCCATGCATGTTTCCTGTTATAAAATAAATTAGGAATGTGAGTCAAACGTTGTCTTCAAATATTTATCCCCTCACTCACTAAAAATGCTACTTAAATGACAGAAAAGGAATAAGACAAATCCACAAGGTTAATAGAATGGAAGAAGAGACATCAGGCAAGGAAACTGATGGATGAGTGGTAAGTGATTTCACAAAGAAATGATAATTGTCAGTGGCAGAAGACTAGAAGAGGTAAAAATCTAATAAGCTTGACAAATGGAGATATCCAGATTCCTCTAAAGCCAGAGGTGCAGAATAAGGCTGGAAATAGGATTGGTTTTGGAAATCTTTAAAACTAGTGTGGGAGAAAGGGCAGATGGCAGCAGTGCCATAGTTTTCAATCTCCAAATCACCATATAATAGCAACTGGATAGCAAAATAAAAATCCATGAGCAACGTAAGTGGGTGAAGATAGCCACAAGACCACAAGCTGGCATTGGCATCAATTCAGGTGAAGCAGAGTGAGGAAACGGCATCTAATGGCCTGAGAACAGAACCTCAGGGTCATCACAGAAACAGCAGGCCAGGTTGAAAACAGCACTCAAGTGGGAGAGGCTTTGCCCATTTCAAAGGTGGGTGAGTCCAAGAGGCTTGTATTAAGGTCTGAAGGACTGAAGCAAGCTAGCCCCTAGAAAGTGTTAGAACTGATTCGCTGAGTTCACCAAGGTTCTCTTCCAGGACAGCGTTCCCCACAGAAGAGAAACTGCTGGGGTGAAGCCAAATTGAAGAAGAGAAAGATGAAGAGAAGGTCCAAATACAAGTAGAATAGGGGATAGTCAACCAAAATCTCTCAGCAGAATACTGGTTTTGAACACTTAGAAAGAAACAGGGAAGTTCCCGTGAATCATGCTTCCTTCTCAAAGTTTAGGAAATGGAATTTACTTAAGAAACTAAGGAAAGTTTTTAGATGAATCTCATACAAAGTTATTTTAATGAAAAGAAAGAGCAAAGATAAGATTTCTGGGCAATGAAGATCTATCAGAAAGGTCTACAGAGCAGAGCAAAACTAGTTCGTTTAAAATGTGCTAAAAGATATTAGAAAAATGATATAAAATATGACAAATTTAGGATTACAAGAATCAGAAATAAGATAAACTCAGGAAAACACTGGAAATAAAAAGATACCAGAGATGCAATATAAACACTATGGATAATTCCTTTAAAAAGAGGTAAAAATAAAAAGGAATTTAAAAAACCCAATTTTTGTTTAATTAGAAAATGACAAGGCCCAACATACAGATAATAGGAATTTGAAACAACAACAAAACCCTATAATCTTAGAAAATGTTTTATTTAAATATATAAAACAATATTTTAAAAGTGAACTGTGGTACCTAAGCAGCAGCTAACACCAGGACATAAATAATATAATACTTTAAAGGGAGAAAACTTTTTGGCTAGGCAAAACCAGGTGAAATGAAAGATGGTGATCAGACTTTCTTCACAATTATACTTTATGCCTGAAGAAAATGGATTGACCATTTTCGAGATACCCAAAGAAAAATGTGAGCTGAGGTTTTCATATCTAATAAAGTTATAAGCATAAAAGGCTGGTACAAACTTATCCTACATAGACAAATTTGGGAAATGGGAAATGTTGTTCCCTTAAGCTCTTCATCAGGAACATCAGAAAATGAGCTCCAGATAACCACAATGACTAAAGAAATAGTGACAGACTGGTGGTGAATATTAAGCATGTGTTGCTTATATAATTTAAGAGTTAAAGTATAGTATGTAAAAGCATATGCAAAAACATTTGGTTTAGCTGGTGGTAGTCTGATATTTTGGGACTGTGTGTAGACTGGAATAGAATAATTACTATTTATAGGATATTTGAAATCCTGTTTTCTTGAGAATCAGGGTCCCTTTTTTTTTTTTTTCAAGATGGAGTCTCGCTGTGTCACAATCTCAGCTCACTGCAACCTCTGCCTCCCAGGTTCAAGCAATTCTGCCTCAGCCTCCCAAGGAGCTGAGATTACAGGTGTGTGCCACCATGCCCAGCTTCATTTTTGTATTTTTAGTAGAGATGGAGTTTCAACATGTTGGCCAGGCTGGTCTCTTAATCTCAGGTGATCCACCCACCTTGGCCTCCCAGAGTGCTGGGATTGCAGGCATAAGCCACTGCACCCAGCCTAGAACCAGGGATTTTAATGTGAGGAAAAGGAGATAGAGAATACAGAACATGTAATTTTTTGAAAAAAATAAAAAAAAACAAAAAAAAAAAACCTATGGCTATGAATTTGAATTGGACGTAGTGGTATAAACTCATGAATGTATATGAATACATGTAGATATGTGTGAATATACACATTCATGAGTTTGTACCAGTATGTTCAATACAAATTCATAACTATCAGGATGCTTAACACGTCAGCTTGTGGTTTCAAAGTACCTTTTTGTTTTTTTCATTAAAACGAGAATTTGGGGAAAATAGTCTGGCAGGAAGTGTAAAAGATAAGCCTAGGACATCTTGTCACAACAAATAGAGGGGCTGGGTGCAGTGTCTCATGCCTGTAATCCCAGGACTTTGGGAGGCTAAGGTGGGCGGATCACCTGAGGTCAGGAGTTCAAGACCAGCCTGGACAACATGGTGAAACTCCATCTCTACTAAAAATACAAAATTAGCCGGGCGTGGTGGCGCATGCCTGTAATCCCAGCTACTTGGGAGGCTGAAGCAGGAGACTTACTTGAAACCAGGAGGCAGAGGTTTCAGTGAGCCGAGATCCCGCCACTGCACTCCAGCCTGGGCAACAAGAGCGAAGCTCCATCTCAAAAACAAAACAAAACAAAACAAAATAAAAATAGAGGTTAACAAAGGCTGCTAGGTAATTTCCAAAAGATTCAAGAGCCAGCTTAAAGGGGCCCCCACTGTGCAAATGTGGGAAACTTTGGTCTTCAAAGAAGATAATTGCAATTTACTAAAACCCATCATAAACATTAAGAATAATTGGTCACCTTGGAGGATGATGGAGTATTCATTGTCTTGAAAACTTGAAGCAAAAAAGCATTTTCCTGTCTTTCCTCTATGAACAGTACAACTGGGTAACTAAATGGCAGATGAAGGACATATCTCTTTCTAGTGTTCTAATAATTAAGATCATATATTTTTCAATACCCAGTGGATCAATAAATTTGAATTTTGTGCATCAATTGCTCTAACATCACAAAAAGACCAGGCACAGTGGCTCACGCCTCTAATCCTACCACTTTGTGAGGTCAAGGAGGGAGGATTGCTTGAGCTCAGGAGTTCGAGAGCAGCCTGGGTAGCATACTGAGATCTCATCTCTACAAAAAAAAAAAAAAATTGTTTCAATTAGCCAGATGCTGTGGCATGTGCCTGTATTCCCAGCTACCCCCATGGCTGAGATGGGAGGATCACTTAAGCCCAACAGATTGAGGCTGCAGTGAGCTGTGATTGTGCCACTGCACTCCACCCTGGATGACAGAGCAAGACCTTGTCTCAAAAAAAAAGAAAGACAACCAGACATTTTATGCCTGCTAATGAAAGGGCTCAACATCACCTATAGTTTTGCCACAGAGATTAGAAATGAGTCTGATTATGCCTCTGGGTTCAGCTGCCTGCTACATTGCAGGAGATTCAGAGGACAGTGGAACATGTTGAACTGAATGAAGCATGAGTGTACAACTAGCAAAATTCAGACTCGGGAGGCTCAGGTGGGAGGATCGCTTGAGCCCAGGTGGTCAAGGCTGCAGTAAGCCATGATTACATCACTCAACTCCAGCCCCGGTGACAGAATGAGACCTGTCAAAAACAAAACAAAACAAAACAAAAACACCAAACAAAAACTAGCAAAGAAAAAACTTTAGTTGAATTCTTACTCTGTTATACAGAGGCCCCATCATCCTTCCATGCTGTGTCCCAGATAAGCCAGTGCTAGCATTGTGGCTGTCCTTGGGCCATCCCATCTATCCTTAGAGTTCAGGCTACTTTTGCCCTGCAATCTTAGCCCTCTAATGATTTTATTTTATTTTTTATTTTTTATTTTTTTGAGACGAAGTCTCACTCTGTCACCCGAGCTGGAGTGCAGTGGCATGATCTTGGCTCACTGCAACCTCTGACTCCCAGGCTCAAACTATTCTTCTGCCTCAGCCTCCCAAGTAGCTGGGATTACAGGCACCTGCCACCACGCCTGGCTAATTTTTGTATTTTTAGTTTCACCATGTTGGCCAGGCTGGTCTCGAACTCCTGACCTCAAGTGATCTGCCCGCCTCAGACTCCCAAAGTGTTGGGATTACAGGCCACCGCACCCAGCCCAGCCCTCTAATGATTTAAAGGAAAGTTATGATTTTGTAGATTATCCAGTTTTTCTTGTTACTAATGTGAGAATGAATCTTTTTTCCAGCTTCCTCCATCCTAGGCAGAAATAAAGTCCCAAATCTTTGTTTTTTAACGGGTCATAGAGGACCCATCATCACCCTTTATTCATTCCTTGATCATCTCAGGCTAGAGAAGTCTAGGGATACAGCTATATATAACATGACCAGAAGAATTAACTGGGCCGTAGCATAATCACATATTTGAAACAGGTAAGTGAGTCATCTGTGGCTAGAGACAAGTCCTGGTCACTTCCCTATTCTGCCCCAATACTCAACTTATTACATTCAGATGTTGCTTAATGGCTAGATGCAGCTTTGAGGGTAATGCTTCTATTAAATATGTCAGTTCAGTTTTACAATGGAAAATTCTGAAGATGGATGGTGGTGATGGTTGCACAATATGAAGGTACTTAATGCCACTTAATCATCCCCTTACAATTGTTAAGATGATAAAAATTATGTATATTTTACCCCAATAACAAGATCTTTTAAGGCCGAGCATGGTGACTCCTGCCTGTAATCTCAGCACTTTGGGAGGCTGAGGCAGGCGGATCACCTGAGGTCAGGAGTTCAAGACCAGCCTGGCCAACATGGTGAAACTCCATCTCTACTAAAAATACAAAATTAGCCAGACGTGGTGGCACGCACCTGTAATCCCAGCTACTTGGGAGGCTGAGATAGGAGAATCGCTTGAACCCAAGAGACAGGCAGAGTTTACAGTGAGCCAAGATCACACCACTGCACTCCAGCCTGGGCTACAAGAGTGAAACTCTGTCTCAAAAAAAAAAAAAAAAAAAAAAAAACAAGATTTTTAAAATTAAATTTTACAATCCAGTACAAAATAAAAGCATTGTCCATCCTTGTTTCTCAAAAACCCAGAAAGACCTTGGTGATCTGGTCACCCTTCCACATTCTTATTATTCAGTGACTTCTCATACCAGGTACTGTATGTTGTATAGCACCTGAAGTCTTTCTAAACACATTTCAGTGTGTTTTATTTATTTATTTATTTGAGACGGAGTCTTGCTCTGTTGCCAGACTGGAGTGCAGTGGCATGATCTCAGCTCACTGCAATCTCCACCTCCCGGGTTCAAGTGAGTCCCCTGTCTCAGCCTCCCGAGTAGCTGGGACTACAGGAGAGTGCCATCATGCCTGGCTAAATTTTGTATTTTAGTAGAGATGGCGTTTCACCATGTTGACCAGGATGGTCTCGATCTCCTGACCTCGTGATCCACTCGCCTCAGTCTCCCAAAGTGCTGGGATTACAGGGATGAGCCACCACGCCCGGCCACAGTGGGTTTTATTTAACAGTTAACTGGCTCATGCTTTAGGGGAGGCAGAATAGTTGAAAGAACCAGCTAGGAATCAGAAGACTTGGTCTGTAATTATGACTTGCCTGAAACTCTAAGTGACCTTTGGAAAGCCACGAAACCTTTACTGTCTTTTTTCTTACAGGACAATCATGAGAGATTGATCTCTAAGTCTGAAATTGGCACTCCAGTGTTTTCTGAATGAAAACACACAGTAAATTCTTTGATTCGGGAGTAAAAACTACTCCAAAACTCCACAAGAGGGCAGCTCCTCCACACCTGAATGGCCTCAGAGACCTTCCAGGCACCTTTGAGGTTATTGTAAAACCACTTTTTTATACAATGTTTTATTTTTATTTATCTTAATTATACAAGTAGCACACAAATATATTCCCACATAAAAAGTCCAACATTACAGATCAATTTCAAGTCACTTTTGATTAGTATGCTAATCCTAGTTTCCTCCCCTGTTATCAGGTTGTTTTCTGAGACTTTGAAAACACAACTTCTGCAACTAATTTTTTCAATCTGCATATAATTTGAACATCATTAATATCTATGTATGTATAAGAAATTTGTGGATATTAATATACTTCTCTTAACTCTTTAAAATGCATGTGTCATAATTTACTTGTTTCTTAATGACATTTAGATTATTTATCTTTTTTCAGTATTCAAAGAATGCTGCATTGAATATTTCAGTACTGTACTTTCAAAAAAGTGAAGAGCCTCACAAGACTTCATGGTAATTAATATTTTAATTAATTAATTAGTTTTTAATTTTATTATTATTTTTTGAGACTCCACCCAGACTGGAAAGCAGCGGCGTGATTTCAGCTCACTGCAACCTCCGCCTCCCAGGTTCAAGAGATTCTCCTGCCTCAGCCTCCTGAGTAGCTAGGAGTACAGACGCATGCCACCATGCCCGGCTAATTTTTTGTATTTTTAGTAGAGACGGGGTTTTGCTATGTCGACCAGGCTGGTCTGGAGCTCCTGACCTCAAGTCATCCACCCACCTTGGCCTCCCAAAGTGCTGGGATTACAAGCATGACCCACTGTGCCCAGCGGCAATTAAGATTTTAAAGCTAATTTATTAAGCCAAAGGAGGAATGTTTTAATAATTTTACTAGCCAGAAAAAAATATATAAAGTCAATTCATAGAAAGGGGACTGAAAGAGGGGGAAATGCCTGGCAGTCTTCCTTGGAAGCATTAGGTTACTCCATTCCATGATGTAAATCATTCTGGGATACAATTTCCTGCTAGGGCATTTTATCAGGTATGCTTTTGACTTAGATCAAATTAGACACAAGTAGCAAATGGCTCAGCGAATGCAGATAACTGAAACGAGAAAAGAACGATCCAGTGTTGCACCCAGGAATGTTAGGTGCTGTGTCCTGGTTACTTTTTTTTTTTTTTTTTTTTTGAGACAGAGTCTCACTCTTGTTGCCCAGGCTGCTGGAGTGCAATGGCGTGATCTCGGCTCACTGCAACCTCCACCTCCCGGGTTCAAACGATTCTCCTGCCTCAGCTTCCCAAGTAGCTAGGATTACAGGCACCCGCCATCACGCCTGGCTAATTTTGTATTTTTAGTAGGGATGGGGTTTCTCCATGTTGGTCAGGCTGGTCTCGAACTCCCAACCTCAGGTGATCTGCCTGCTCAGCCTCCCAAAGTGCTGGGATTACAGGCGTGAGCCACGGCGCCCAGCCTCCTGGTTACTTCTGTGTGCCCCACAGTGGAAAGGAAATGTTCGCAGGTAATGAGTCAGAGCAATTCAGATTTCATGTGTAGAAGAAAAGTTCAACATAAACATATTGGACAATATTAATGTAAAATATGGTCAGCCTTCCACATTCTTATTATTCAGAATAAAACTTTTATCTATAGCGAATATTCCTGAAGAACGTTTGGAATTCTTCAGAATCCAAACGTTGAATGTCCCATTCAAGCTGTCAGGTTCCAAATCCTATGTTTCCTGAAGAGACATGGCTGGGATCCGGCTGGGAAAATTCCGAAGGTGCCAACCTTCAGGTCACGGTACCTGACTGGTGCTGCATTCTCCTTCCAGCCTTGAAGATTCTGAAAGTGGAGGTTTCTTAAGCAGATACAGAGCTAATGGCCAGGTTTCTTGGGAGTACATTACAATAAATGCAAGAGGTGCAGAAAGCAAGAAATTGCTCTGGATCTTAGAAAAATGGGCTTGGAGCTCCATTAGTGTCTGCTACCTTCTGCAACCCAGATTCCAAATTGTTTTCCAGACTTGTGTTAGAGTTATTGGTGTCAGAACATCTTTTTTCATCCCCAGGGATAAGACACAAACACCTGCAAAGCTGACTCATGAAAGGAGACAAGGCACTACTATGACAGTGGATTGTGGGAGCTGTGAGGTAGGACCTTAAATTTTTTTGGTTTTTTTTGAGTCTCTCTCTGCTGCCCAGGCTGAAGTGTAGTGGAGCGATCTCGCTTCGCTGCAACCTCCGCCTATGGGGTTCAAGCGATTCTCCTGCCTCAACCTTTCAAGGAGCTGGGATTACAGGCACACGCCACCACACCTGGCTAATTTTTGTATTTTTAGTGGAGACAAGGTTTCGCCATGTTGGCCAGGCTGGTCTCGAACTCCCGACCACAAGTGATCCACCTGCCTCAGCCTCCCAAAGTGCTAGGATTACAGGCGTGAGCCACTGCACCCAGCCAGTAGGACCTTAAATTATCTCCCCTGATAGCCCAGAGGAGCTGGAGGCAGCCTGTTTGCCTTCACTCCAGGATGCCATGGCGTGACTTCTAAAAGGACCGTCTGTGATAGCATTTGGTGAGCAGGAAAGAAGTAGTCTGACGTTTGGAGGGGTAGAGTGTGCATTCTCCATTTTGATCTGTGACAATCCATACAGTGGAGGCAACAGGGGGGTCTGGACATGTAAGAGCTTCTGGGAGGAGGAGACTGTTTAGAGGGATGTCTCAGAAAATATTTTCCCTAAGACTGCAAGATTTCCCACCAGCAAGTTTTTTATTTAAAATTCAAGAAGGAGCACATGATTTTGTAATGAAATGAGCATGGTTAAATCCAGCAGCTATGCATGTTATTTTGCTTCTCTGAGTTTCGGTTCTCTTTTTTAGAAGGAATAATTGAGAAAATATATGTGACTAGCACAGGGTCAAGCATACTTAATAAGTACACTTCCTCCCTATTCCTGAGAAAGTTTATAATGCTGAAGAAGCTGATGTTGATGGGCCAAGTCTGTTGTCTCGCCCAGCGTTGTCTTGTTCATGGATTCGTGGAGCTGCTCTGATTCTTCGGCCCTTCATCAACAAAATGGTGAAAACAGTAACTCACACTTGTTGAGTGGTAGGTGCCAGGCACTGTTCTAAGTCTTTTTTACATAGATCAACTAACACATTTGATGCTCATAGCCCCACTTCATAGCCCCATCTACATAGGTAGATATTATTATTTTACACACAAGATAACAGAGACAGAGAGAGGGGTACCTCAACTGGCCCAAGGTCACACAGCTAGTAGGTAAGAGAACCAGAGTTCACATCCAAGTAATCTAATTCTAGAGTCCACATTCTCTCACTCTCTCACTCTCTTTTTTTTTTTTTTTTTTTGGTGGAATGTTAAAATATAAAACCAATAAAGAACATAGTAGTTGCTTGACATAGCAAACAACCATTGTGGAGAAAAGGTGCTCATTCATTATAGGTAGGGTCATGTAATTAATGCTTATCTATGGAAGGCCGGTGGACACTCAGTAGTTGCTTTAAGCACTTTTAGTTTAGCCACTTCAAGCACTTTTAGTTTGGGGCAGTTAAGAGCAAATGTGTTGTTTCCATCTATTTTCTCATCTGAACTTCTAGAAACAAAGAACTCAGATGACAGAGTTGCAAGTCTGAAACAACTTCTGTACCTGAATTTTTCCTGGAGAGGAGCCAAACAGGAGAAACTCCCAACATGCGTTGAACTGTGATGACGTTTTTATGTTCAATTATTAATTTTGGGGTTATTTCTTTTTATGTCTTTTTTTTAAGAGACAGGGTCTCGCTCTGTCACCCAGGCTGGAGTGCAATGGCACAATAATAGCTCATGACAACTACAAAGTCCTGGGCTCAAATGATCCTCCTGCCTCAGCCTCCCAAGTAGCTGTGACTATAGGCACAAGCCAAAATGTCTGACTAAATTTTTTGTAGAGACAGGGTCTTACTATGTTACCTAGGCTGGTCTCAAACTCCTGGCCTCAAGCAATCCTCCTGCTTCAGCCCCTCAAAGTGCTGGGATTACTGATGTAAGCCACTGCTCTTGGCAGGGGGTGTGTTTCTTATTGCAGCATAGCATTGCCTATCCTAACTAACAGGGTCATTAAATGTTAATAATAATAATTTTTTTCTCAAATAAAATATAGATAACCATAGATGGAAAATCCCATGAAGCTAGTATTTAAAAATAGAGATTTCTTTCTTCTTGAGCAACAATAACAACAAAACATTATGAGAGCTCCAATGCTCAAGCAATTGGTTAAATGTTACTGGGTGAATAAAGGACCCAAGAGGCTGAGAAAGGGGCAATCGTATCTTTGTGCAAGATTTGCCAGGACCCATTTTGGACTTCAGCATTTAGCCAAGCTGGCCAAGCCTGGTGCAGAGCTTTATGAAACAACTTAAGTCACTGCCCTGGCTCACTCCACCGTGCCTAGGCAGAGTCAGGGAAGACACTGCTCATGGCGGAGTGGCCTAGGATATAGAAGCCTACTAAGAAATCCTTCTGACTGCAGAGGCCAAGTTCTCTCCATTACCTGGGAGCTCAAGGACTCAGAGTGAGCTCAGAAACCATTGCCCCAGCTTCCTAGGCAGGAGGAAATGCAAAATTAAATGAAAAAAAATGAGATTTTTTTTTAATAGGTAAAAAGCAGGAAACTATTTTTCCTTCTGTCCCTCAACAGACCTAGAAATGTTTGGCCATTTTCCTCTCCATCATCCTCATTTGACTGAAGACTCTTCAGATGTCAAATAACTCATCATGGAATGGTCCCAGAGCAGTCCCCACAGCAATGAGACCTCTAAAGATGGTGGGCCATCTAGTAACAATGGAACAGATACTAATGGTCCTGTTTATTTTTTTTGTTTCTTCATTTGTTTAGAGACAAGGTCTTGCTCTATTGCCCAGGCTGGAGTGCAATGGCAAGATCATGGCTCTCTACAGCCTCAACCTCCTGGACTCAAGCGACCCTCCTGCCTTAGCTTCCTGAGTAGCTGGGACTACAGTGCATGCCACCATGCCAGCTAATTTTTTTAAAAAATTTTTTGTAGAGATGGAATCTCCCTGTTTCCCAAGCTGGTCTCAGTCTCCTGGCCTCAAGCAATCCTCCTGCTTCAGCCTCTGAAAGTGCTGGGTTTACAGGTGTGAGCCAATGTGCCTAGCCTGATCCTGTTTATTCTCAGAAAAAGGATGTGTGTGAATCATGGAAGGACCACTGTGCTCCTGGATCTGGGGCAAGGAAGTGGTCCACGTCAAGAGCAGCATCTTTTTCTAGACAGGGAAGCTAAGTCCTAAAACCATCCTGCATAAAAGAAGTGCACTAGGATGGAACATCCTGGTCTGGGAACAAAGAGAACTGGGTCTGTCTAAGCATCTCTTTGGTCCTAGGCAAGTAAGTTAATCTCTATGGACCTCAGTTTCATCATCTATTACATGCAAACTCTTAGTTATGATAATGGTCCTACCTACATTCCTGAAACAGCAGAAGTATGATAAAATATGCTGGAAAACTGCAGAGTACAATGATACTTTGATAACACATCAGGATTTTAATGCTAGTTTCACCTCTTTATCTGGGCAAATTGCTCAACCTTTCTATTTCTCACTATGAAAAATGGCAACATATTTCAGGGTAAGGTGACCCAATCTTCTGTCCGCTTTATAACTGTGGTATTAAAATGTCCTTACTTGAGAATCACTTGAACCCGTGAGGCGAAGGTTGCAGTGAGCCGAGATCGTGCCACTGCACTGCAGCCTGGGTGACAGAGCGAGACTCTGTCTCAAAAAAAAGTCCTCGCTTGAGACTAATTCTATCCAGAGCTCCTGAGCTAAGGCCTATGAGACCATATTATAGTGAAGACTAGTATTACAGTACCACATTGTAAACCTTAATTTCTTTGGCAAAGATAAATTCTTAACTAATAGTGAGCAAAGTGACTTTCTCTGACCAATATACAGATGGTGATTCCATTTCCAACCTCAGAACTGACCTCCTGCTGCCCAGGGAGCGGGAGTGGGAAGAGGGGAGGGAGAGGAGAGGCGTGATGTCACTCAGCCCTACAGAGGGGCCTCCCTTCAGGCTCCTGCAGGCTATTTGGAAGCAGCTGGAAGAACGAGTTAGGTCCTGGTTGCAGGATTTTTTTTTTCTTTTTTAAGTCAGACATAGACACAGATGTTGAGTAAAATGCTGCCTCCACTGAAAATCCCAAGCCTCAGACCTTTCAAGCAGAGGAAGAACTTAGTAAAGTTCTAGAGGTACCTTTCTGGCTGACTAGGGGAATAAAAGAAGAGCAGCTATGGCTTGCCTTGCCATTTGCTTATTCTTTTATACTTGAAATCGTCACAGCAACCAGACAAGAGGAAGTTGCTGGAATCTGGGCAAAGTTCCCAAAGAAGATCCCAGTGAGACACCATTGGACTTCTATTAGGGGGACACCACTGGACTTCTGTTAGGGGGACACCACTGGACTTCTGTTAGGGGGACACCACTGGACTTCTGTTAGGGGGACACCGTTGGACTTCTGTTAGGGGGACACCGTTGGACTTCTGTTAGAGGGACACCATTGGACTTCTGTTAGGGGGACACCATTGGACTTCTGTTGGGGGGACACCATTGGACTTCTGTTGGGGGGACACCATTGGACTTCTGTTGGGGGGACACCATTGGACTTCTCTTGGGGGGACACCATTGGACTTCTGTTGGGGGGACACCATTGGACTTCTGTTAGGGGGACCTCTGATCCTATTCTTGGAAAAAACAAAAAGCAACCAATGGCCTTCTCTCTGTTCTGAATTCCTAAGACATGTAGAACTCTGAGTCACATTCTTAGGCACTTGTTTCAGAAGAAATTTATGCTGAAATTCTTGACAGGTGATAGTGGAGCGCTACCCCCAGAGAGACGTTCCTGCCACTGCTGGACGAAAACAAAGTTCCTGGTCCCACAGGAGCTGACCATGGTCTAGGTCCTCACCACCGTTCCATAGGTGACACAGTGTACGTGCGCACGAGGCTGAGGTGGGAGGGTCACTTGAGCCCGGAAGGTGGGGGCTGCAGTGGGTTTTGATCATGCCACTGCACTCCAGCCTAGGCAGCAGTGTGAGACTCTATCTCAAAAAAAAAAAAAAAAAGAGAAAGTGAGAGCTCCCAATGTTGCTGTAACAGCAGGTTCTCTGTGTTATTTTAACGTTTTACTGGTACTGTATTTCAATTATTAAATTTCTGTAATAAGTTCCCAAAATAACCTTTGGAAACTAGTCCAGATAACTTTGTTTCCAGGTATTTGTAAAGCCCACTGACAGCATTTTGCCCCTAAGTGGTTCTTTCCCTCTGATGTCAGGGAGGGAATTTTCAGTAGGAAACGTTTAGTCCACCTGCGAGAATCACCGAGCAGAGGAACCAGGCCTTTCCCTCACCCAGCTTCCGCCTACACAGGACAACACAAGGCAAGCCAAATGCTGCTAACTTAACAGATAAAGCTGAAGGGATTGAAGTTGTCACCTGCCAGCTGAACTCAATAAAAATGATATGGAACTCAAAATAGCTGATAGGGGCTCAGTAAATAAACTTGGCTCAGCTGGGCGTAGTGGCTCACACCTATAATCCCAGCACTTTGGGAGGCTGAGGCAGGCAGATCACTTGAGGTCAGGAGTTCAAGACCAGCCTGGACAACATGGCAAAACCCCGTCTCTACTAAAAATACAAAAATTAGCTGGGCATGTTGGCATGCACCTGTAGTCCCATCTACTCAGAGGCTGAGGCACAAGAATCACTTGAACCTGGGAGGCAGAGGTTGCAGTAAGCCAAGATCATGCCACTGCACTCCGGCCTGGGTGACAGAGTGAGACTCCATCTAATAATAATAATAATAATAAACTTGGCTGGTCAGTCTTCCTGAACTGGACACAACCTCTCGAAGGTTTTGGCTGATGCAGACAGTTTCTTCAGAGCATCTATTACAATATTTTAATGAACTCTTTTAGAACACTCTGCATTCTCAGAACTGCTAAGGTTAATGCAGTGCAGACTAAGGACGACTAAGGGAAAACCAGTCAGGCTTAGATCCCAATTCCCGTCAGACTCCAGATGCTGTGGGGGCTCTAGTGGCTTCACCGAAAAGTGAGTCTTAATACAACTTACCCCTTTGTTCCCAATAGGTGCACCCCAAACTCCATGCACTCCCCATTCTTCAGCCCAGTAAGATGAATTTCTACATTAATTCATTTAGAAATAGTTAATAATCTCTAATTAGCATAATTAGAAAGCATTAAGAAGCATCCATTATGTATCAGCCACTGTGCTGGACTATGCACATAAATATCTGCCAAACTGCAGAGTTTTTACTCTTGGGGACTCACCAACCTTAAAAAAATGAGAGCCTGGGCCAGGCACGGTGGCTCACGCCTATAATCCCAGCACTTTGGGAGCCCGAGGCAGGCGGATCATGAGGTCAGGAGATCGAGACCATCCTGGCTAACACGGTGAAACCCCGTCTCTACTAAAAATACAAAAAAAATTAGCCGGGCGTGGTGGCGGGCGCCTGTAGTCTCAGCTACTCGGGAGGCTGAGGCAGGAGAATGGCGTGAACCCGGGAGGGGCGCAGGGTAGTAAGGATGGCCTAGAGAGAGAGCCTCAGCAAAGGACACTGAGGCCGTTTCCTGCTTGGTTTCTCTTTTTATGCTGTTTCTTGAGAAGAAAAGTTTTGATTGCTCTTGGAAATTTTTTAAGTACTAACTTTTTTTTGAGCAAGAAATGGTTAGTTAACCTGTGTGATGGTTTCATGTGATGAGGTGGAGATCTATTTTACTGTCTTCTGTGGTAGATGTGGGCAGGTCCTTGAGGAGTTTGATTTCACCCCCTGCGTGTGGGCAGGAGCCCCGAATATGGCTCTCATCCTCCAGTAGGCTAGAACAGCTCCTTATATGGTGGTTTCAGGGCTGCATTCCAAGGGGGCAAAAGTGGAGGGTGCAAGTTCTCTTGTGACCTTGGCTCTGGACGTGCCCGATACCATTTTTTTTCTTTTTTTTTTTTTTGAGATGTAGTCTCACTCTGTTGCCCAGGCTGGAGTGCAGTGATACGATTATTAGATGGAGTGAGACTCCATCTAATAATAATAATAATAATAATAATAATAATAATAATAATAATAAACTTGGCTGGTCAGTCTTCCTGAACATTCACTCTGCTTCTGGCTGGACTCAGGAGAATGCCCCATGACTCTCCACCCTCACTATGTTCCTTGACTCTGTTCCCTTGGTAAGTATGGCTGTTTAGGCAGAACTTACTCTGTTCTTATGAGGTGTACAGAGGTTTAGTCCTTACCCTGTGACCCACCTCAACATCCTCAGAGACCAGATTCAGAAGGTTTCTGCTCTAGAGTAAGTGTGCGCCCAATATAGTACTTACCTACACACACACACACCCCCACACACACAATTTATATATGTACACATGTCAATGTTATGTAGAAAGTGGCATACCATAGATTCATAGTAAAATACACATTTCCAAACTTTATTTCATTCATTAAACAGGTTTTGGCTGGGCACGGTGGGCCACGCCTGTAATCCCAGCACTTTTAGGAGGTCGAGGTGGGCGGATCACCTGAGGTCAGGAGTTTGAGACCAGTCTGTCCAACGTGGCGAAACCCCATCTCTACTAAAAATACAAAAATTAGCTGGGCATGGTGGCACGTGACTAATCCCATCTGCTTGCGAGGCTTGAGGCAGGAGAATCGTTTGAGCTGGGGAGATGGAGGCTACAGTGAGCCAAGATTGAGGCACTGCACTCCAGCCTGACTGACAAAGTGAGACCCTGTCTCAAAAAAAAAAAAAAAAAAAGCAGGTTTCTATTGTATGGTCACAATAGGTGAGCACATTCCCATGCGATGTGATAGGGGCATACAGTACTCTAGACAGCACTTAAGGCATCTAACTCAGATTTGAAGTCCAGGAATAACTCCTGAAGGAAGTGACCTCTAAGCAAATATATGGTGAGAAATAATTAGCCAGACCAAGAAGACAAGGAAGAATATTCTAGGCACAGCAAACAGGATGGATTGTTTGAAGAGCTATAATAATTTTGGTGTGGCTGGAGCTTTGAGAAGTGAAACAGATAAGGAGCAGTGACATACGAGGCCGGAGGGGCGTAAGGACCTTGAGAGACAGTTAGGAAGAGGGGACTTTATCCTGAGAAGAATGGAAGGGACAGTAAATGCTTCTTTCTTTCACATATATTGTTAAAGCAAACTAAATATGGCCTGAGAAGGACTTCATACTTTTATATTTGAATCCTTGTGGATGAACTATAACCTAGCTTAATAGGCAGACAAGATTGAAAACCTAATTTAGGGCCGGGTGCAGTGGCTCACCCCTGTAATCCCAATCCTTTGGGAGGACAAGGCAGGTGGATAACTTGAGGTCAAGAGTTTGAGACCAGCCTGGGCAACATGGTGAAACCCCGTCTCTACTAAAAATACAAAATTAGTCAGGCATGGTGGCAGGTGCCTGTGATCCCAGCTACTTGGGAGGCTGAGGCAGGAGAATCGCTTGAATCTGAGAGGCAGAGGTTGCAGTGAATGAGATTGCGTCATTGCACTCCAGCGTGGGCGACAAGAGGGAAACTCTGTCCCCCCACAAAAACAACAACAACAACAAAAACTCACAATATGTATTTATAGTTGAGGGTGCTGTGGTCTCATTTCCATTTTAGAAAGATCGCTCTGCCTGAGAAAGCCATTGGAAGTTTTTTATTTCCTTTTTAGAAAGGCGACTGTCTGTACATTCCTGAAGATGTTATATGAAAATATGGAAACAGGTCATTGGAAGGTCTTAAGGAAGAGAGCGATAAAATGAGATTTGCATTCTAGAGCTATGATGTTCTAGAAGAAGCTTAAGAGAGCATAAAAAGATGAGGAGCTGAGGAGCTGGAGGAGCTTTGGAGTGGAGATGAGGCTCCAAGCCTCAGCTCTGTGTCCTCTGTGGGATTCACTGGGGGCAGTACCAGTCCCCAAAACAGGACAAGTTTATGGAGACGCTGGACTCTGGCACTACCCAGGGCACTGCAGTTCCATTGTCCCCCCACAGCTCAGGTGAAGCCTAGGAGGAAGGCAAAGTGCTGATTGGCTACAGGAAGGGATCCCTATGGCCCCTCCCCCAAATGTGGGATACTGGCTACAGAATGTCCCAATAGTTCAGGCCGGGTGCGGTGGCTCATGCCTGTAATCCCAGCACTTTGGGAGGCCTCGGCGGGCCGATCACTAGAGGTCAGGAGTTCGAGACCAGCCTGGCCAAAATGATGAAACCCTGTCTCTACTAAAAATACAAACATTAGTCAGGTGTGGTGACACACACCTGTAATCCCACCTACTCCAGAGGCTGAGGCAAAAGAATCTCTTGAACCCAGGAGGCGGAGGTTGCAGTGAGCCGAGATCGGGCCACTGCGCTCCAGCTTAGCGACAGAGCGAGACTGTCTCAAAAATAAAAAGAATGCCCCAGTAGTTCTATCCTGATTGAAGAGGTTTCCTTCAGAGAAACCTGAAGAACACTGGGGACCCTTTTTGTATCCTCTTAGTTCAGAAAGACCCCTGTGTGAGGAGCACACGTGTGACCTTCTGGAGCGTCTGGGCACTCCTCTCTGCTACAGAACTACAAATGCTGTTTGGAGACCAGGAGCAGGTGAGTGAGGACAAGACGGAGGTGCTGCACATGAGGCTGCAGGCCTAGGGAGGAGGTGAGGATGGTCCAGGAAGCAGGGATGTGGAGAAGCCCCCTGAAAGAGCTGCACAGAATCACAAGGCAGCGAGGACACAGAAACCACTCTAGGTATGACAATCAGGGGCATTTAATGCAGGGAATTTGTTATAAGATGTTGAAAAGCTGGAGGAGCAAAACAGAATATGGGGTAGCTGAAAGACAAAAGGGGGTAAAGAGGGATACCCAGAGATCAGAAAGAGAAGGACAGAGAGAAAGATTAAGATATGGGCTGGGCATGGTGGCTCACACTTGTAATCCCCGCACTTTGGGAGGCCCAGGTGGGTGGATCACGACATCAGGAGTTCGAGACCAGCCCGACCAACATGGTGAAACCCCATCTCTACTAAAAATACAAAAAATTAGCCAGGTGTGGTGGTGGCAGGTGCCTGTAATCCCAGCTACTCAGGAGGCTGAGGCAGGAGAATTAGTTGAACCTGGGAGGCGGAGGTTGCAGTGAGCTGAGATCACTGCACTCCAGCCTGGGTGACAGAGCGAGACTCCGTCTCAAAAAAAAAAAAAAAGATTAAGGTATGGAAAAAAGGGCTGTAGCCTCCAAGCCAGCGCCTGTTGTTGCATTTATTTTAGGGATATCCACGGAATCTGAAAGTGCTTCTCTCCTTCCGTCCTCTCAACCTTCCATCACTGCACTGCTGTGGCTAAAAGGAGACCAAAAGACTGACACCAGGTGGCAAAGGGAATCTAAGAGATGCAGCAGGCAGTGCCCCAGCCCTCTCAGTAATTAGCAGTGCACAGAAGGGAGCAGAGGAAAAAAGCAGGTAAATGACCAGTACCTTCCCATTTGCTCCAGCTTGTGTGTTTTATTGTCACAAAGTATTTAAATATTTTTTAAGTTCCACCAGACATTAATTTTACTGCCTGATGAAATCAGAATTCATATAGAGCTATCCATAAGTGTACTATTTTCTTTATTATTTTTTTTTGAGATTTGCTGGGAATGAACTCGTTTTTTTCTTTGTCTGAAAATGTCTTTATTTACCTTCATTCTTACAGATCTTTTTATTCAGTATAGAATTTTAGCTTTGCAATTACTTTCTTTCAGTGTATTAACGGGTCTTTCTGTATTCTATTTGCGTAGCCATGGCTGCTTTGTTTTGTTTTGTTTTGTTTTGCTTTGCTTTTTGAGCTCTGTTACCCAGGATGGAGTACAGTGGTGAGATCTTGGCTCACTGCGGCCTCCGCCTCCCTGGTTCAAGTGGTTCTCCTGCCTCAGCCTCCAAAGTAGCTGGGACTACAGGCACACGCCACCATGCCTGGCTAATTTTTGTATTTTTAGTAGAGACGGGGTTTCACCATGGTGGCCAGGCTGGTCTCAAACTCCTGACCTCAAGCGATCCACCCACCATGGCCTCCCAAAGTGCTGGGATTACAGGCATGAGCCACTGCGCCCGGCCATCATGGATGCTTTGAAGGTAATCTCTCTCTTCCTCTCTTTCTCTCCATCTCTCCTCTCCTCTCTTTCTCCCCATCTGTCTCCTGTCTCTCTCTTCTTTCTCTCCCTCCCTCTCTCCTCTTTCTCTTCATTTCTCTATTTCTCTCTCTCCATCTCTCTCTCTACCCGCCCCCGCTATTTCTCTCTTCCTCCCTCTCCCTCAATATTTTAACATATCCTTTGTCTTTGATTATCTACAGTTTTATTGTGATTTTTTTGGTATGATTTACTTTTCATTTATCTTTCTTGGCATTCATTGGGTCTCTTGAATCTGTAAATTAGTGCTGTGGGCCAGGTGTGGTGCCTCATGCCTGTATTCCCAGCACTTTAGGAGACTGAGGCGGGCGGATCACCTGAGGTCGGGAGTTCGAGACCAGCCTGACCAACATGGAGAAACCTGGCCTCTACTAAAAATACAAAGTTAGCCAAGTGTGGTGGCACAGGCCTGTGATCCCAGCTACTCGGGAGGCTGAGGCAGGAGAATCGCTTGAACCCGGGAGGTGGAGGTTGCAGTGAGCTGAGATCGCGCCATTGCACTCCAGCCTGGGCAACAAGAACGAAACTCTGTCTCAAAAAAATAATAAAAATAAATAAATAAATAAATAAATAAATAAATAAATAAATAAGTGCTGTCCACCCTTTCTGTAGAACTCTCCGACATTATCCCTTGAAATATCGCCTCTGCCAATGCGATATTTCAATTGGAAGGTTCCTCTCCTTCTGGAACCTTCCAATTCTGTTCTCCAAGTCTCTTATTCTCTCTTTCCTGTTCTCCATCTTTCTCTCTCTCATTCTATATAATATCTTCTGGCCTACCTTCCAAATCTGTTATTTTTATCTTCTGTATTCAATCTGCTTTAAAACTTCATTTTGCTGAGTTATTAATTTGGGTTATTTTATTTTTTCATGGGTAGAATTTTTATTTGGTTCATTTACAAATCTGTTATATCACATGTCATCATCTCCCATTCACCAAGAATTTTTTTAAAGCCTGTCATATGTTTCAAATAATAATAATTACATATAATCTGTTTGTAATAATTCTAGCATATGAAGTCTTGTGGGGGGGGTCTGTTATCTGCTGGGTTTTTGTTAGTTCTTGTTCATTGCATCTTATTTTTTTGTTGTACTAATTTATCTTTGATTTAGTGCTATCTTTGCCCTTGAAAATTTATTCGTGCGGTCTTTCAGAGGCCTGGGATGAAGATGCCTTTATCCAGAGAGGTTTTGCATTTACAACTGCCAAACACCTGGGTACTAGGAATCTGTAACCATGTTTAAGTAAACATGTCTCTTATACCTAATACTGTGAATTTGGGCTGTGAGCACTCACCAGGGACAGCATTTGTTTTTCAAGTTTGGGGATCAGCCTTCTTCCCCACTCAACCCCAAATTCTTCCCATTCAAGAGGGTACAGGAAAAGAGGTCTGGGTATACTTCTGGTTCTGCCCATCCTTCTGAGTCTCAGCTCAGTTTCCCAGCTGCCTCCAGGCAGATCTGCAGATGCTCTCAGTGCAAGAGTGGACTGTGCTCTTCCCACTTTCTCTTGTTTCTTGACCTCCAAATTTCAAACTCTATTTTTATATGCTTTAAAGAACTTTTCCATACTCTCTCATTTTAACTTGTCTTCCCATAGGAATGTGGTCCAAATAACAGCTTGCTGTCATCAAAAATGGAAGGTCCCCCTTGTCATCTTTCTACATTTTTTTCATTTCTATTAAGTGTTGGATCAATCCAATGTCAGTTAGAGGCCAAGAAAGTGTTTGTGTTTCCGCAATTCTGATCATTTCCACCTATTACACACAGTCGGTGTGAAAGTCAAATAAGATACTAAAGGTAAAAGTTCCCCTTTCTTTAAATTTGTAAATACTGTCTTTCCAAAGAGAATATAAATTCCTTTACATATAATTTAGCTTTGTTTCTTGTATCACACATAGCACTATTTCTTGCAAATAATAAGGAATCTAAAAATATACTTCATATGTGGTTGTTGTGAGAGGTGTGAGTAGAAAATTATCTATTTGTCCCAGGTAATACGGTAAGCCCTCACTTAACATCATTGATAGGTTCTTGGAAACTGCGACTTTCAGCAAAATGACTTATAACGAAACCATTGTTTTTCTTCATAAACGATGTTATTATGAAACAAGATTTGAGGACCTGCTATATGTCATTTTTCTTAAAGCTACACTTTTCTAGAATCTATTGAGAACATTCAGTGAAGCCATACATATTATACTAATTTCACAGCTCTTAAAATAATAATCAGGCTGGGCACCGTGGCTCACGCCTTTGGGAGGCGGAGGTGGGCAGATCACTTGAGGTCAGAAGTTTGGGAGGCCAAGGTGGGAGGATCACTTCAGGTCAGGAGTTTGAGACCAGCCTGGCCAACGTGGTGAAACCCCGTCTCTACTAAAAATACAAAATTAAGTGGGCACGGTGGCTGGCGCCTGTAATCCCAGCTACTCGGGAGGCTGAGGCAGGAGAATTGCTTGAACCCAGGAGGAGGAGGTTACAGTGAGCTGGGATCATGCCACTGCATTCCAGCCTGGGCAACAGAGTGAGACTCCATCTCAAAAATAAATACATAAAAATTAAAATTAAAAAACCCTCCAAAACAATAGTGGATTGGTTAAATAAATGATGTGTTAATTATATAATGGAATAAGTTATAAGCCACTAAAAATTATGTTGAAGAAGACTATGTAATGGCATGGTAAAATAATTTTGATACATTAAATAAGAAAAAGTAAGTTACAAACGGTATATATGCTATACATGTCATCAGACCTGTGTCCAAACTCAGAGAATGTACACACCAAGAGTGAATCCTATTGTAAACTCTGGACTCGGGGTGATAATGATGTGTCAATGTTGGTTCACAGGTTCTAACAAATGTCCCTTCTGGTGAGGGATGTTGGTAGTGGGAGAGGCTGCATGTGTGGGGATAGGGACTATGTGGGAAATCTCTGTACCTTCTGCTCAACATTGCTGTCAACACAAAACCACTCTTTTAAAAAGCCTCTTTAAAATTATGTAATTTAAAGAATTTAGGGGCTGGGCACGATGACTCCTGCCTGTAATCCCAGCACTTTGGGAGGCCAAGGCGAGCGGACCACTTGAGGCCAGGAGTTCGAGACCGGCCTGACCAAAATGGTGAAACCCTGTCTCTACTAAAAACACAAAAAATTAGCTGGGTGTGGTGTCACACACCTGTAATCCCAGCTACTCGGGAGGCTGAGACAGGAAAATCGCTGAACCTGGGAGGCGGAGGTTGCAGTGAGCTGAGATCATGCCATTGCACTCCAGCCTGGGCGACAGAGCAAGACTTCATTTCAAGAAACAGAAAACAAACAAACAAAAAATTAGCCGGGCACAGTGGTGGTGCTTGTAATCCCAGCTACTCAGGGGGCTAAGGCAGGAGGATTGCTTGAACCCTGGAGATGGAGGCTGCAGTGAGCTATCGTGCCATTGCACTCCAGTCTGGGCAACAAGAGCAAAACTCCATCTAACAAAAAAAAAAAAAAGAATTTAGGGAATTATTTATGGGGAAGTGATATTCCTGAGCATTTTGTATTCAAAAAATAAAATAAAAATGAAGGCAGCATTGTTTTCCTAGGAAGTGTGTGTGTGTGCATACACGTGTGTGCAAGTGTGTGTCTAGGTCTGAGCAAAGTTAAGTGAAAGGTGCTTATCACTGCATTTTGCTTAATTTTTTTCTCTATTCTTGTGACATGTTATGTCGCTACATTTTATTTTTTTATTATTATTATTTTTTAAGATGGAGTCTCCCTGTCTCGCCCAGGCTGGAGTGCAGTGGCACAATCTCTGCTCACTGCAAGCTCCACCTCCCGGGTTCACGCCATTCTCCCACCTCAGCCTCCTGAGTAGCTGGGACTACAGGCGCCCGCCACCACACCCGGCTAATTTTGTTTTTGTATTTTTAGTGGAGACAGGATTTCACCGTGTTAGCCAGGATGGTCTCCATCTCCTGACCTCGTGATCTGCCCACCTCCAGAAGTGCTGGGATGAGAGGCGTGAGCCACCACACCCGGCCTATGTCACTACATTTTAAACAGCATCTCCCTTTTCTCCAAGTTTCAAATCTAATTTTCTCCAAGAAGTAGATCATTCTAAGGATAGGAAATGATGTATCCAACGCAGCAGAGGTTCTCTCACTCTTGCTGTTGCTCTGCTGCTGACATCTGCTATTTCCTTCGGTCTAATGCAAAGACAAGTGGCCAGGGCTATGACCATGGCCTGAAGACTCTGAGCAGAAATATGATTGGTTAGCCGATGAAGTCCTGGTTACTAAATATTTGGATGCAGTAGGTTCCAATATGTGAAAACGGAATATAAAAGAAAGCTATAACAGAGCTTAGCTTTTTATAACCTTAGGTGGCTTTAGTGTAGGTTTCAACATTTGTGGAAAGACATGACCACTTTTTTCTACTTGGAGAATAAAATAATTTTGCAAAGAAAAAAAATAAGACAGTAAGTGCTACATGAGCCTAAGATTGTCAAAGAAAAATTAGCATGGAAGGGAACACATCAAAGTATCACTAACCTTGCTCATACATTGCTGGCTGAAGTGTTATTTGGTAAAAGCTCCATTAAAAACAATTTGGCAATACCTATCAAAATTATGAATTCACATACCCTTGTATGCAGCAATTCTATTTATATGGGTATTTTATGATATGCTCATACATTTGAAGATAACATGTGTGAGCTTACTAATACAATTTTGTGTGAAAAAGTTTGAAAGTCAATTTAAAACATCTATCAGGGAGAACTTGTTAAATAATTATGATATTCGCCTAAATATTATGGAACTAAAAGAGAGAAAGAGGAAACTCTTCTTGAACTTTTGGAACAATCTCCAAAGTATATTTTGAGTGAAAAAACTTAGATGCATATATATTAAGTGGTTTGTATTTTCTATGCTACTGTATTAGTGCGTTGTTGAATTGGTATAAAAAAAAAATACTTGAGGTCGAACACAGTGGCTCACGCCTGTAATCCCAGCACTTTGGGAGGCCGAGGAGGGTGGATCACTTGAGGTCAGGAGTTGGAGACCAGCCTGGCCAACATGGTGAAACCTCATCTCTACTAAAAATACAAAAATTAGCCGGACGTGGTGGCACGCACCTGTAGTACCAACTACTCAGGAGGCTGAGGCAGGAGAATCGCTTGAACCTGGGAGGCAGAGGTTGCAGTGAGCTGAGATCCCGCCACTGCACTCCAGCCTGGGCGACAGAGCAAGACTCCATCTCAGAAAAAAAAAAAAAAAAATACCTGAGACTGAGTAACTTATAAAGAAAAGAGGTTTAATTGGTTCAGAGTTCCACAGGCTGAACAGGAAGCATGATACTGGCATCTGCTCAGCTTCTGGTGATGTCTCAGGAAGCTTCCAATCATGGTAGAAGGCAAAGGAGGAGTGGGGCAGGCCACATGGCGAAAGCAGGAGCAAGAGATGGGGGCAGTGCCACATACTTGTAAACACACAGATCTCCACCAGAACCCACTTACTGTCACAAGGACAGCATCAAGGGTATGGTACTAAACCATTCATGAGAAATCCATTCCCACTATCCAGTCACCTCCTGCCAGGCCTCATCTCCAACACTGGGGAGTGTATTTTAACATGAGGTTTGGGCAGGGACACAGATCCAAACCCTATCAGCTACTATTTGCTTTAAATAAAAGGGAGTCCTGGCCAGGTGTGATGGCTTATGCCTGTAATCCCAGCATTTTGAGAGGCCAAGGCGGGTGGATCACGAGGTCAGGAGTTCAAGACCAGGCTGGCCAAGATGGTGAAATCCTGTCTCTACTAAAAATACAAAAATTAGCCAGGCATGGTGGTGGGCACCTGTAATGCCAGCTACTGGGGAGGCTGAGGCAGAGAATTGCTTGAACCGGGAGACGGAGTTTGCAGTGAGCCAAGATTGTGTCACTGTACTCCAGCTTGGGCGATAGAGTAAGACTCCGTCTCAAAAATAAATAAAAATGGCAGGGCATGGTGGCTCACGCCTGTAATCCCAGCACTTTGGGAGGCTGAGGTGGGCAGACCACGAGGTCAGGAGTTTGAGACCAGCCTGGCCAATATGGTGACACCTCGTCTCTACCAAAAATACAAAAAAATTAGCCGGGGGTGATGGTGCCTGTAGTCCCAGCTACTCAGCTCGGAGGGCTGAGGCAGGAGAATCACTTGAATCCGGGAGGCAGAGGTTGCAGTGAGCCGAGATCGCACCACTGCACTCCAGCCTGGGCAACAGAGTGAGACTCCATCTAAAAATAATAATAATAAATAAATAAAAGGGGGTCCTTTGTGCAAGATGGCACAGAAGGCAAAGAAGGAAGCTCCTGCCCCCTCCTAAAGCCGAAGCCAAAGCGAAGGCTTTGAAGGCCAAGAAGGCAGTGCTGAAAGCCATCCACAGCCACACACAAAAAGGAACATCCACATGTCACCCACCTTCCTGCGGCCAGACACTGCACCTCCCGAAGACAGCCCAGATATCCTCAGACAAGCACCTCCAGGAGGAGCAGGCCTGACCACTGTGCCATCATCAAATTCCCGCAGACCACTGAGTCAGCCATGAAGAAGAGAGAAGACAACACACTTGTGTACATTGTGGATGTTAAAGCCAACAAGCGTCAGATCAAGCAGGCTGCGAGAAAGCTCACTAATACTAGTGTGGTCAAAGTCCACACCCCGATCAGGCTGATGGAGAGAAGAAGGCGTATGTTTACCTGGATCCTAATTACAATGCTTTGGGTATTGTCAGCAAAATTGGGATAATCTAAACTAAGTCTGGCTGGCTAATTCTAAAGATAGATAGATAGATATTTATATATATAAGAGAGAGATATATAAAAGTGGGTCAGACGGAACACACACACACACACATATATATATCTTTAGAATTAGCCAGCCAGACTTAGTTATATATATATTTTTTCACTGGAAAAAAATAATAGAATAAAATGAATAAAAGGGGTCAGAAGAAATATGCCTTCTTTCCAGTGTACTTTATCATATACATAAATGTAATTATGTTTTGGGAGAGAAAAGGGGTGGGTGAAATTTTTTTGTCTTTTTTTTTTTGAGAGAGGGTCTCACTCTGTTGCCCAGGCTGGAGTGCAGTGGAGTGACCTCGGCTCACTGCAACCTCTGCCTCCTGGGTTCAAGCGATTCCCTTGCCTCAGACTCCTGAGTAGCTGGGATTACAGGCACGCGCCACCATGCCTGGCTCATTTTTTTGTATTTTTAGTAGAGAAGGGATTTCACCATGTTGGCCAGGCTGGTCTCAAACTCCCGATCTCAAATGATCTGCCTGCCTCAGCCTCCCAAAATGCTGGGATTTCAGGCGTGAGCCGCTGCACCTGGCCAAAATTTTTTTATTGTGTACTTTTTTGTACCTCTTGAATTTGAAACGTAAGTAAATGTTATAATTAAAAATTTTTAAATTCATAATTAGAAATATAACCAACCTGCTGGAGCGTAAGCTTCATAGAGGTAAGGGACTGTGTCTGTCTTACATGCAGTTCTAGTCACAGCCCCCAGCACAGTGCCTCACATGGAGGAGTCATTTAATACTTGAATTAATAATGAACTGTTAATATTTAGTTGTGGCATTCCCGGAAATTTTTTGCAATTTTAAAATGTTCTCTTATATACAGATTTTGGATTTTTATAATCAGAAACACAATTTTTAAGTGGAAGGAGAAAACTCGGATGTAGCAGAGTCCTTAGTCCCAGCTCGGCCTCACGCCTCAGGAAGCCTTGTGCTTTTTGAATTGTTTCTTCAAAATGTTCTAAGACCCTTCCTTTGGCTGGAACCAGCCAGCGCTGGCAATGCTGTCTCAGCGGGGTGCCAGGGACACAGACCAGGTCCCGAGGTGCTCCGCCGCCCTCAGAGGGTCGACCAGATGCACCAAGAAGCTCCGGGGCTTGTGTCTGTTGGGTCATCCTGGCCCAACCTATGGCGGGGCCCTGGTTCCAGGAGGGCACCCAGAGAAGAGAGCTTCCCCTGGCTGGTGCAGCATTTCTCTCGTGCACTGTTGTACCGCAACATGGTACTGACACCTGATTTGGGGTGGTTCTTAGAGCAAAGGGTAAGATCAAGGATTGGCTACTGAGCCTTGAGCTTGAGTTCCAATGCAGCCTGTGCACCTGTTCTCACCTATGTTTGAACATTTTTTTTGTTTTTGTTTTTTGTTTTTGAGACAGAGTCTCACTCTGTCATCAGGCTGGAGTTCAGTGGCATGATCTCCGCTCACTGCAAACTCTGCCTCCCGGGTTCAAGCGATTCTCCTGCCTCAGCCTCCTGAGTAGCTGGGACTACAGGCGCATGCCATCACGCCCTGCTAATTTTTTGTATTTTTAGTAGAGACAGGGTTTCACCATGTTGGTCAGGCTGGTCTCGAACTCCTGACCTTGTGATCTGCCCTCCTTGGCCTCCCAAAGTGCTGGGATTACAGGCGTGAGCCACCACACCCGGCCCGACATTTTTTTCATTACATGGTTTACATAGACAGGAGCCTCACCAAAAACTACTTGCTGGGGCTCACACACCTCAGGGGTAGCCCTGCTGTGATGTAATCACCTGAATTATTTGAAAGATGTCAGTGAGAACAAGTGAAAGTACTTAACATTGTGACAGATCAAAGCAAATATTTTATTCTAGAAGAAAATGTCAGTAGATGGGAGAAGAGAACTAAGCCGCAAAGACCATACCTGCAAAATCTGGAGTCTGAGCCCAGTGAGAATTACAGTGGGCTAAAGTCAACCCTTTTATGGTGATTTTCTAAAAATATATAAAGATGTAACCAACCTTTAACTCCCTTACCCATTTTTGGCAACAGCTCAGAAAAGGCCACATCCCACCACAGTGATGAAGCAGCTTTGCACCCTTTGCCACATTATGTTATGGTACACACCCAGTTTGACAGTTATATTCTGCAGCTTAACTTTCTTCTATGTTTCTCTCCCCCCATCACACTCCAACACACATTTTCAAAGAAGTAATTTGAGCTTTAGAGAGCAGAGGGTCAGAGAGAGATTAGCCCAGGAAGAGCCAGCCTTAGGGATATAAAGTCAGCAGCTTCCTCCTAAAATCAGAGACTGAAATCCTCTCACTTTTCTACTCTTCTCTTTTCCTGTGCATTTCTCTGGAAATTCTGTATAATCCAGAGACAATGCTGTGCCTCATTGACCGAAAAGCCCCATGGCCCTTCCCTGCTCCAAATCAGTCCTTTCCCCTCCCTCCAGGGAGCCCCAGGAGACTGGAAGGAGTGGAGAGGCCCCTGATGAGGCATACCGGGTCCTTCCCTGATGTCCTGTGAGGACACAAAGGAAGCGAAGCTGTGACTCACGCCTTGCATCAGGCCAAGGCCCTACCATGTTCAGAAATCCAGCTGAGTCTGTTTTTCACTTTCATGAGTGCACACTGCATATTGTTTTGTTTTGTTTTTTGAGATGGAGTCTCACTCTGTTGCCCAGGCTGGAGTGCAATGGCGTGATCTCAGCTCACTGCAACCTCCACTTCCTGGGTTCAAGCAATCCTCCTGTCTCAGCCTCCTGAGTAGCTGGGATTACAGGTGCACGCCACCATGCCCAGTTAATTTTTGTATTTTTAGTAGAGACAGGGTTTCACCACATTGGTCAGGCTGCTCTCCAACTCCTGACCTCAGGTGATCCACCCACCTCGGCCTTCCAAAGTGCTGGAATTACAGGCATGAGCCATTGCGCCCGGCCCTACACTGCATATTGCATGAAAAATATAGTGTGGCCACGTGAGAAAACATGTATGCTGACACTGGCCGAGTGGGAAGGAGCAACAAGGATGAACTCCTATCGTTGATGGTTGGGTCCACCAGGCATTAGGAACACATACACTTTACAGAGCTGCATGTGATGTGAGGACGTTTGCCCAATTTCTTTCCACTGTTGCTCATGGTCTAACCCCTACAGTGGATTCTCTTGGTCCTCCTTAATCCACAGGAGTGAACCTTGTCCTCTACCAAACTGAGTGAGAGTTTGACAGGGTGGCCTGAATTGATTCTGAAATGCACTAGGGTGGGGAGCTGGGATGTGAAAATCCAGTCGTTTATAGGTGAGGGTAGAGGGGGGTGGATGCCAGCTGGGCAACCAGTGTCTGATCATCCACCAATGCTCATGATTGAACTAGCAGAGTCAACAAGCCACAAGGGTGGCGGCTGAAGGTCAGAACGGGGTGGGTCAGCCATGGGGAAGGCAGGCTCACAAATGTGCGAGGAAGCACACAAAAAACACTATTACTATATCATTTGTTCATGATGCCAAATGATATATTTTTTCCTTTTTTTTTTTTTTTTTTTTTTGAGACAAGGTCCCACTCCAACATCCAGACTGGAGTGCAGTGGCGTGATCACGATTAACTACAACCTCAGCTTCCTGAGCTCAGGTGATTCTCCCACCTCAGCCTCTGCAATATCTAGGACTACAGGTGTGTATCACTATGCCCAGCTAATTATATATATATATGTGTTTTGTTTTTTTTTCCTGAGACAGAGTTTCGCTCTTGTTGCCCAGGCTGGAGTACAATGGCACAAGCTCGGCTCACTGCAACCTCCACTTCCCAGATTCAAGCAATTTTCCCGCCTCAGCCTCCCAAGTAACTGGCATTACAGGCACACATCACTATGCCCGACTAATTTTCTGTATTTTTAGTAGAGACGGGATTTTACCATGTTGATCAGGCTGAACATGAACTTCTGACCTCGTGATCCACCCACCTTGGCCTCCACGAACTCCTGAACTTATGACTCCTGATCCACCCACCTCGGCCTCCCAAAGTGCTGGGATTATAGGCATGAGCCACTGCGCCCAGCCAATTTTTTATACTTTTTTTGGAAGGAACAGGATCTTGCTAAGTTGCCCAGGCTGGTCTCACACTCCTGGGATCAAGCAATACTCCCACCTTGGCCTCCCAAAGTGCTGGAATTACAGGCATGAGCCACGGCCCTAGGCTGATATATTTTTTTCATTTGTCAAAAAATATAAAAATGTATCTTTTGGATTTTTGTGGCACCTAACTGTGGGCCACTGTAGCAGAAGACTCAGCTCAGGTTTCTGCATCCAGGTGGGGAAGACAAACATGTACACAGAAAACTGCAATAGGGCCGGGTGCAGTGGCTCACACCTGTAATCCCAGCACTTTGGGAGGCTGAGGCAGGCGGATCACAAGGTCAGGAGATGGAGACCATCCTGGCCAACATGGTGAAACCCTGTCTGTACTAAAAATACAAAAATTAGCTGGGTGTGGTGGCACGTGCCTGTAATCCCAGCTACTCAGGAGGCTGAGGCAGGAGAATGGCGTGAACCCAGGAGGCAGAGGTTGCAGTGCGACGAGATCATGCCACTGTATTCCAGCCTGGTGACAGAGCAAGACTCTGTCAGAAAGAAAAGAAAAGAAAGAAAGAAGGAAGGAAGGAAGGGAAGAAAGGAAGAAAGAAAGGAAGGAAAGGAAGGAAAGAAAAGGAAAGGAAAGAAAAGAAAGAAAAAGGAAAACGGCAACAGAGTGTTCTAGGCAGGATGATACAGAGGGCCTGATATGGAATGGTGGGGCTGCAATGGGGAGAGTAGCCAGTTGTGCCTGGGCTTGGAGTCGGAGTAGAGGGGCAGGTGAGTTTTCATGCAGAACATGGCACTTGAGTGGAATCTTCCAAGACGAGGAAGTAACTGCAGATGATGAAGAGTCTAGAGATTAATTCTTAGTCTAGGGAGCAGATGGGGCAGAGGAGGAACATAAAGAAACAGCATGGGCCAGGTGTGTTGACTCACGCCTGTAATCCCAGCACTTTGGGAGGCCAAGGCAGGCAGATCACCTGAGGTTGGGAGTTCGAGACCAGCCTGACCAACATGGAGAAACCCCATCTCTACTAAAAATACAAAATTAGCTGGGCGTGGTGGCGGGTGCCTATAATCCCAGCTACTCAGGAGCCTGAGGCAGAAGAATTGCTTGAATCCGGGAGGCGGAGATTGTGGTGAGCCGAGATCGCACCATTGCACTCCAGCCTGGGCAACAAGAGAGAAACTCTGTCTCAGAAAAAAAAAACAAAAAAAAACAAAAATAGAAACAGTATGACCTGTAAGAAGAGGGGTGGTTTAGCTAGTGTGGGACTCACCCCGTGTGTTAAAGTGGAAAAGAGACAGCAGAGACGGAGCTAAAGAGGGAGGGATGAGAAAGGGCTTTAGGTTTACACTTCCCCCTCGATGAGCAAGAGGCTACCACAAATCATGGCTTTGCATTTTATTTTCATTTTTTAACATTAGAAAATTCTATTAACCAGACATGGTGGCATGCGCCTGTAATCCCAGCTACTCAGGAGGCCGGGGCAGGAGAATCACTTGAACCCGGGAGGCGCATGTTGCAGCGAGCCGAGTTCACACCACTGCACTCCAGCCTGGCAACAAGAGCGAAACTCCGTCTCAAAAAAAAAAAAGAAAATTCTATTTAGATTGAAATACAGCATACAAAGTTATTGTGCCACACTAAAAATAACAGCAACATTTTCGATATGATTCCTAGATAAGCCATGAAACAGTAATTTTTGCAAACTTTTCAGTTTATGGAAGAGAATCTACAGTTATAAATCAAAACAAGGCAGCCGATACAGCCATGGGAAGATCTCTGCCTTGGAGTTTTTTTTTTTTTTTTTTTTTTTTTTGAGACAGAGTTCCGCTCTGTCACCCAGGCTGGAGTGCAGTGGCACAATCTCAGCTCACTGCAACCTCCACCTCCTGGGCCCAAGTGATCGTCCCACCTCAGCCTCCCAAGTAGCTGAGACTGTAGGGGTGCACCACCACTCCCGGCTAATTTTTGTATTTTTGGTAGAGACGGAGGTTCACCATGTTGGCCAGGCTGGTCTCAAACTCTTGACCTCAAGTGATCCACCCACCTTGGCCTCCCAAAGTGCCGGGATTATAGGAGTGAGCCACAGTGCCAGGCTGGATTTTTTTTTTTTTTAATCACAGTAGAAGCAATAGAGGGTGTGGACTGCAGAGCACCAACATAAGAGAACAGGCCAAGGAGGACTTCGGGGAGGGAGCTGGGTAGTCATGGTCAGAGAGTTGGCCAAAGAGTCTGCCTGGAGTAAGAGATTCAGAAAAATCAAGTAGAAGAATGCTGAGAAGAGAGAGGCCATCAGTGTCACTGAGGGTGAGGCTGAGGGCAGGTCAAGCGAACATGCACCGAAGAAGAATTTGGCAATTGGGAGATCACGGGGAATTTTAGAAAGAATTTTCAGCGGGGCGCGGTGGCTCATGCCTGTAATCCCAGCACTTTGGGAGCCTGAGGCAAGCAGATCACTTGAGGTCAGGAGTTTGAGACAAGCCTGACCAACATGGTAAAACCTCGTCTCTACTAAAAATACAAAAATTAGCTGGGCATGGTGGTGCATGGCTATAATCCCAGCTACTCAGGAGGCTGAGGCAGGAGAATCACTTGAACCCAGGAGGCAGAGGTTTCAGTGAGCCCAGATTGCACCACTGTACTCCAGCCTGGGAGGCAGAGCCAGACTCGGTCTCAATAAAAAAGAATTGTCACTGAATGGCATGCTGGAGGGGAAGCCCTAGGGCGGCAGGGACTAGAAGTTTGGGGAAGGAGTGAGGAGGAAGAGCGAGTGACAGAAGACAAAGGTTTTAAGGATCTTCCTGGAAGAAGGTAGCTAGCAGGTAAGGTTTTGAAGCAGTGAAGGACCTGAAAATCTTTGAAGTTGAGAGAAAGAAGTCAGGATAGGAGGGAAAAGGTTAAATAACAGCAGGGTGAGTGGGGGCTGCTGAACTGAAGGGATCTAATTAAGACGAAAAGTAAGGGCTTATTCCTGAACAGGAGGGAAGGCATCTCCTCTGGGAATCCAGAGAAGGCAGAGAAGGTAGAGGAAGGCTGTAATTTTGAGCACTGGGGCAGGACCAGGAGTGACTTGGCTTCTTATCACACTTTTCTAAAAGTTTAATATTATTTCCAAATTAAAATTTTTTTAATTATGAAGCATTCAGAGGTAATCACATCCATCACTAATTATTATTATTTTTAAACAAAAATAGAATAATCACTATTTTGACCATCTTGCTTTCTTTGTCTACATATCATGTTGATCTCTCTAGTATATACACATCTACTTCCTTCATTTCTTTTTCCCTTTTTTTTTTTTCTTTGAGACAGAGTTTCGCTCTTGTTGCCCAGGCTGGAGTTCAATGGCACAATCTCGGCTCACTACAACCTCCACCTCCCGGGTTCAAGAAATTCTCCTGCGTCAGCCTCCTTAGTAGCTGGGATTACAGGCATGCGCCAACATGCCCAGCTAATTTTGTATTTTTAGTAGAGATGGGGTTTCTCCACGTCGGTCAGGCTGGTCTCGAACTCCCAACCTCAGGTGATCCACTGGCCTCGGCCTCCTAAAGTGCTGGGATTACAGGCGTGAGTCACTGTGCCCGGCCTTACTTCCTTCATTCCTATAGCTGGGTACTATTGCTTTGTCTGGATGAGCCACAATTTACGTCATCCACCTTAATGAACCTGGACCTGCCTATAGATTTTGCTGTTGCAAATAACAATGCGTGGGATAGAACCACAGGCACAGGCTTTGGAGCAAGCACTGACCAGGGTTTGCTCATTGCAAGTGGAATGACCTTGAGCATGTTTTTCTTTCCAAGCCTCAGTTTTATCATTTATAAAGTGAACACTAACAATAGTACAGTTGGCCCTTGAACAACACGGGTTTGAACTGCGTGGGCTCATTTGCACTTGGATTTTCTTCTGCCTCTGCTGACCCTGACAGAGCAAGACCAACCCCCCCTTCCTCTTCCTCCTCAGCCTACTCAGTGTGAAGATGATGAGGATGAAGACCTTTATGAAGACTCAGTTCTGCTTAATCAATAGGAAATATATTTTCTCTTCCTTATGATTCTCTTAGTAACATTTTCTTTTCTCTAGCTTACTTCATTGAGAATACAGTATGTAATACATATAACATACAAAATATAAGTTAATTGACTGCTTATGTTATCAGCAAAGCTTCCAGTCAACAGTAGGCTATTAGCAGTTAAGTTTTGGGGAAGTCAAAAGTTAAACTTGGATTTTCAGCAGGAGGAGGGTTCATTACCCCTCACCCCCATGTTATTCAAGGTAAACTACACATTGCTTTAGTGGCCATGAGAATTCAATGATGCTAAAGTATTGTACATAGAACCTGTCATAAAGCAAGCCTAGACTCATAACATTGATTATGAATGTCATCTCTGTGCCTCTGTATAGATTGTTTGTTGTTGTTGTTGTTGTTGAGACAGGGTCTTACTCTGTCGCCTGGGCTGGAGTGCAATGGCTTAATCATGGCTCACTGAAGCCTCAACCTCCCAGGCTCAAGCGATTCTCCCACCTCAGCCTCCCAAGTAGCTAGGACTACAGGCACACGCCACCACGCCCAGCTAATCGTTGTGTTTTTTCTAAAGACGGGGTTTCGCCTTGTTGCCCAGGCTGGTCTCAAACTCCTGGGCTCAAGTGATGCTCCTGCCAGCCTCCCAAAGTGCTAGGATTATAGGCATGAGCCACTGCATCTAGCCTCTTCAGAGATTTGTATTTGGATTGCCTTGGAATAAGTTTCTAGAAAAGGTGGAATTGCTGGGTAAAGGATATGAACATTTTAAAGCATGATAAATATGACTGACTCTCTCTACAAAACTGTTATACTTTATACTCACATCAAAAGTGCCTATCCCTCATTTTATCATCTACACCGGAAATAGAAATCTTTACAAATATTTATCAGTCTAGCAGGTGGAAAAATTGCCCGATACTGTTTTATTCTGCATGTCTTTTGTTTTCCAGCATCTTGTCAAGTGTCTACTGGCAATTCTCACTTTCTCTTTAGTGAATTCTGCTTCTTTCGGGTTGGGAAGGCATTCATCATTTTTCCACTGATTTGCAAGAGTATTTGTATATTATAGAAATTCCTCTGCCATGGCTGCTGCAAAAAAAAAAATGTGCCTTTTCTTTTGATTTTGTTTAAGGTTTGCTTTTTAAATAGACATTTTAAAATTTATATGACATTAACTTTTTCAGCCTTTTCCCTTGTTGCTTCTGGGATTCATGCCTGTCTTAGAAAAACTGTTTTATTTTGTGATTATACGCTAATGCTTTGTGGCTTTGCTACTACTGTTAAGATTGTGTTTATTTTACATTTAAATATTCCATCCATCTGGAATTTATTTTAGTATAATAAGAGAGGGAAGGATCAGCTTCCAAATGCTTGAACACCTATGTTTCCAAGCCACGTATTGAGGAATTCATCTCTTGGCCTCTCCACTCCAACCTGAATCTCTCTGATTGCTGTATTCAGCTGTCCCAGCTGGAGAAACCACACTGAACTCTTCAAGGGCAAAAGCCAAGGTTTGACTTTGCTCCCTCTGATCCCTGCTAGTGTACCTAGCAGCGTGCTGAGCACATAACAACTGCCCACAGGATGAGATGGTAAACTGGAGAACTTGCTTGGCAATCACAAGAAAACAGGGCAGTGGTGGTGAGATCTGGGATGCGTGCTTTCAAGGTGATGGCATCATGGAGGGAAACCACCTTTTTCCTGTGCTTGCTTCCTTGCATTTGTCACCCCTTCCTTTTTCCCTCCACATCCCCACAAGTCACACAGTGAGGAACCAGAAACACAGCAACTTTTGGCTTTTGGCACAGCGAGGCTGGGGTCCCCAGCTTCTCTCGGTCTCACTGAGTGTTGGACTTACAACAACGGTCCTGACATCAAGATATTCTGCGGGAAATCGGGTGAGAGGGTGGGAGGGGAGGGAGGAATCACAAATAAAGATTTGGTTTTGTCCATTAAGAGTTGAAAAGAAAGTTGTTCATAGCCTCGGGCTTGCTTGTTGATTTCATGTGGCCAAGTGTCCCACTGGGGGAGTTTGCAGGCACATGGACTTGATTTTTTGCGGGGTCATAGTTTCTTAACCTTCCTCCAGTTCATTCCCTGCCTGCGTTCTCTTCTCTCACTGTTCTCTAAGTTGGGCATGTTAGGTTTCTTTTTCCTTTTTTTTTTTTTTTTTTTTTTTTTGAGACAGAGTCTCACTCTGTCGCCCAGGCTGGAATGCAGTGGTGCGATCTTGGCTCGCTGCAACCTCCACCTCCTGGCTTCAAGCAATTCTCCTGCCTCAGTCTCCTTAGTAGCTGGAATTACAGGCATACACCACCACATCTGGCTAATTTTTGTATTTTTAGTAGAGATGGGGTTTCACCATGTTGGCCAGGCTGGTCTCGAACTCCTGGCTGGTCTTGAACTCCTAACCTTGTGACCCGCCTGCCTCGGCCTCCCAATGTGTGGGGATCATAGTCATCATGCCCTGCTGGGCATGTTAGGTTTCTAAGTGTGTATACCATGCTCTTCAACCAACAAAGAGGCGCCTGGTTCTCCATCATTTTCTCCAAAACTCTCCAGGGTTAGACAGACTGAGTTTCTCTCATAGCAGATGAACCCAAGTTACCTGAGTTCTAGAGTCCAGAGGCCTGGGCAGTAAGACCACTCTGCTTTTCCTTCCCCTCCCTTGGAAAAGTACACTCTTTATACTTCTCCTTCCATCCTGCTTCCAGCTCAAGTTAAGATCAATTCCACCAGGATGATTTGAGCACATACATAAGCCGGCACCATATGAAGAGACAGTGTGGAGTCTTGCAAAGAATCCACACATGCTTAATAATCAGACAGACCTAGGTTCAAAGGTCGGGTCTGCCTCTGTGCTTTTGGCAGAGTTACTTAACCTGTCTGTGTCAATTTCTTTATCTGTTAAAACTGTAGACCTTGTCCCAGTACTTTCAGCCCAGGGCTGACTTCGTGAGTATATGACCTGGGCAGTCACGCAGGACCTGCACTTACAGGAGCCCCTTACTTTAACACTCTGCTCTTGCTGTCTTGAAATTCAGAATAATTTTTTTTTTTGAGATGGAGTCTCGCTCTTTTGCCTAGGCTGGAGTGCAGTGGCATGACCTTGGCTCACTGCAACCTCCACCTCCCGGGTTCAAGCGATTCTCCTACCTCAGCCTCCCAAGTAGCTGGGATTACAGGTACCTGCCACCATGACCGGCTAATTTTTGTACTTTTAGTAGAGATGGGGTTTGCCATGTTGGCCAGGCTGGTCTTGAACTCCTGGCCTCAGGTGATCCTCCCGCCTTGGCCTCCCAAAGTGCTGGGATTACAGGTGTGAGCCACCGCACCCGGCCCAGAATAATTTTTTTTGAGACACAGTCTTGCTCTGTCACCCAGGCTGGAATGCAGTGGTGTGATCTTGGCTCACTGTAACCTCTACCTCCTGGGTTCAAGCAAGTCTCCTGCCTCAGCCTCCCGGGTAGCTGGGATTACAGGCGCCCACCACCATGTCCAGCTAATTTTTGTATATTTACTAGAGATGGAGTTTTGCCACGTTGGCCAGGCTGGTCTCGAACTCCTGGCCTCAAGGCGATCCTCCCGCCTTGGCCTCCCAAAGCGCTGGGATTACAGGTGTGAGCCACCGCGCCTGGATCAGAATGATTTTGTAACCCACAGCCGTGCATGTTCAGTTTGCACTGGTCCCTACACACGATGTCACTGGCTCCATCTAAGCGGAGTCTTATTGTGAAAAGAGCCGCACGCAAGTGAGTGAGGTCTGTCCATCGTCAGGGCAGTTACTACAGTCTGTCAATGAGAAGACTCAGAATCTCATCTCATTGTGCAGACAGATGGGAGTTTCTATCAACTCACCATGCGTGAAGGGTCACATTGCTCTTTCCCATCCATGCAACCTTAGAAAATCTCAGTATCTCCGGCTGGGCGCAGTGGCTCACGCCTGTAATCCCAGCACATTGGCAGGCCAAGGCGGGCGGATCATGAGGTCAGGAGATCGAGACCATCCTGGCTAACACGGTGAAACCCCGTCTCTACTAAAAATACAAAAAAATTAGCCGGGCGTGGTGGCGGGCGCCTGTAGTCCCATCTACTTGGGGCAGGAGAATGGCGTGAACCTGGGAGGCGGAACTTGCTGTGAGCTGAGATTGCGCCACTGCACTCCAGCCTCGGCGACAGAGCGAGACTCCATCTCAAAAAAGAAAAGAAAAGAAAATCTCAGTATCTCTGGTGCCTGAGGTTTATCATTTATAAGAGTAGATGATAAAAATATTTATCCTGTGAGTCTCTGTGATCTGCCTGTTTGTGTCCCCCCCAAATTCATAGGTTGAAACCTAACCCCCCAGGGTGATGGTATTAGGAGGTTGAGGACTTTGGGAAGTGACTAAAGATGGAACCCACCATGAATGAGATTAGTGCCCTTTTAAAAGAGACCCCAGAGAGCTGGCCAGCCCCTCCACCATTTGCAGGTACAGTGAGAAGACATCCATCTATGAACCAGGACATGAGCCCTCACCAGACACCAAATCTGCTGGCACCTTGACCTTGGATTCCCCAGCCTCCAAAGCTGTGAGAAATGTTTGTTGTTGAAGCCACCCAGTCTGATATTTATGTTATAGCAACCCAAATGGACTAAGATGTGGGTTTGGGAGAGGATTAAATGAGGTAATACATGGAATGTTCTTAGAACAGTGTTTAGCACATAGTAAGCTATTCATATTCTTAGTATCATATATTTTAAAGTTATGCTGCCTAAAGGTGTGTTTTAGGTTAAGTATTACACTATGAATACAGAGTAATAGTTATACACTTTTTAGGTTAAGAAACTTTAAGAGGTCAGGCATGGTGGCACACATCTGTAATCCCAGCATTTTGGGAGGCCAAGGTGGGCGCAGAGCTTGAACCCAGGAGTTTGAGGTCAGCCTGGGCAACACAGGGAGACCCTGTCTCTACAAAAAGGTACAAAAGTTAGCTGGGAGTGATGGTGGTGCACACCTGTAGACCCAGCTACTTGGAGGGCTGAGGTGGGAGCATCGCTTGAGCCTGGGATGTCAAGGCTGCAGTGAGCCATAATTGCACCACTGCACTTCAGCCTAGGCAACAGAGTGAGACCATGTCTCTAAAAAAATGAAAAAAGAAACTTTCAGGCCAGGTATGGTGGCTCACACCTGTAATCCTAGCACTTTGGGAGGCCAAGGAGGGTGGATCACTTGAGGTCAGGAGTTTGAGACCAGCCTGGTCAACAGGGTGAAACCCTGTCTTTAGTAAAAATACAAAAATTAGCTGGGTGTGGTGGAAAGCACCTGTAATCCCAGCTACTCAGGAGGCTGAGGCAGGAGAATTGCTTGAACCTGGGAGGTGGAGGTGGCACTGAGCCGAGATCGCACCACTGCACTACAGCCTGGGTGACAGAGCGTGACTCAGTCTCAAAAAAAAAGAAACTTTCAGAATATGATAGCATAGGAACAAACAATTGACAGAAAAAGAAATCCAAATGGCCAATAAAGATCTGAAAAGTTGTTAAGACAAGGTGATATGAAAAAGGAAAAAAAATAAAAATAATTTTTAAGAAGATATGAAAAGATGTTTCACATTTTATATAACTAAAGGAATTAAAAATTAAAATGGTTGTGAGATCATTATTTTTCACTTGTTTCACGGGAAAAAATTTAAAGGATAATTACTATTCAGTGTTAGCTGGGGTATGGGAAAACAGGCAGTCTCAAGCGTCATTGAAGAGGAGTACAAATTTGTTCATCATTTTAGAAGAATAATATGGCAATGCTTATCTAAATTTTATGCCAATAATCTCAATCCAAAGAGAACATACTTACAGTGGTTGTAAAAATATATTCATTCACGCATTCACTCATTCATCAGATATGTATTGGGCAGTGTAACAAACAACCATAATAAAGGAATGAGGCTGGGCGTGGTGGCTTATGCCTGTAATCCCAGCACTTTGGGAGGCGGAGGCGGACGAATCACCGGAGGTCAGGAGTTCGAGACCAGCCTGGACAACATGGTGAAACCCCGTCTCTACTAAAAATACAAAAATTAGCCTGGTGTGGTGGCAGGCATCTGTAATCCTAGCTACTCAGGAGGCTGAGGCATAAGAATCGCTTGGACCTCGGAGGCAGAGGTTGCAGTGAGCCGAGACGATTCCACAACACTCCAGCCTGGGTGACAGAGTGAGATGCCATCTCAAAAAAAAAAAAAGAAAAAAGAAAAGGAAAAAGGAATGAGGCTGGGGGCTGTGGCTCACACCAGGAACCCCAGCTCTTTGTGAGGCCAAGGTGGGAGGATCACTCGAGCCCAGAAGCTGAAGACCAGCTTGAGCTACATAGCGAGGACCCATCTCTATGCATATACATTATTAAATAAAGGAATGAAATGTTTTTTCTTGTTATCATCTGTGTACTGGAGTATTCCAGATCTGCAAAGAAGTGAGAAGATCTACATGGATCTTCTCTAGAACCTGATATACCTGGTGTTTTAAGTGGAAATAAAATGACATAAGTGTATATATTAATGTTCTCATTTTTATAATAAACGAAGGCTGAAATGTACGCATGTACTTTTGCATGAACATTTGGAAAAATCTGGAGATACACAACCAAGTGTTATGCATGGTTGTGGCAAGGGGATTGGAAAGCCAAACAATGCTTTACATAGGAAAAAGAGAATGTAATAGGTCAGTGGATTTCCAGTGTTTTTCCCAAGGTTTTAGAGAGCAAAAGAAGTATTCTGGTTCTCTTCACAGTAGAATTCTAAGGTACTAATCATGGAATCTGCAAGCAATCTTCTGGTTATAAAGTTATTTCCCACATAAATAGGTCTGTAGGGAGAGAATGTTCTGATCACAATGATGATTTGATTGTTTTTATTCATGTAGTGTTTTGTGTTGTGGTTTTGACATTGGCCTGTTGTGAGCTCTGAAGGCAAAGGCATAAGTCCATCAATGAGTAATGGAAGATGAAATAAAATGCCATATGTGGCCGGGTGCGGTGGCTCACGCCTGTAATCCCAGCACTTTGGGAGGCCAAGGTGGGCGGATCATGAGGTCAGGAGATTGAGACCATCTTGGCTAACACGGTGAAACCCCATCTCTACTAAAAATACAAAAAAACAGCCAGGCGTGGTGGTGGGTGCCTGCAGTCCCAGCTACTTGGGAGGCTGAGGCAGGAGAATGGCGTGAACCCGGGAGGCAGAGGCTGCAGTGAGCCGAGATCGCAGCACTGCACTCCAGCCTGGGCGACAGAGCAAACTCTGTCTTAAAAAAAAAAAAGCCTTTAAAGAATTGCAAGCAATGAGGTGAAATAATCCAAATAACACATTGGCACATTAAGGACATTGTTGTCACTGTGCAAGAAAGGACAGAAGGCAGGAGTGGATGGAGGAGTCCAGGCTGCACTAGGCTTGGGTAAGCCAGCGCAGGGGAAGAGCGGGCCAATTCCACGTCCGATTTGGAGTTAAATTTTCAGGGCTTGCTGAGGGAGGGAATGTGGGTTTGGGGAAAAGCAAGAAATCCAGGGTGAAGCACTGTGTAAGGTCTGACCCACTGCTTTAATGGACTCCGCTGTCATGACTGAGGCAGAAAGTTTACCTGCAGGGACAGGGGTGGGAAGTCTAAATTCCAGAGGGAAAACCAACAGTTTCTTTTTGGGCCTCCTAGGTTTAAATATCTATGCAACATCCAAGTGAGGCTGCCATGTAAACCACTGGATTTAAGAGTACGGAGCTGCTGGGCACGGTGGCTCACGCCTGTAATCCCAGCACTTTGGGAGGCCAAGGTGGGCAGATCACTTGAGGTCGGGAGTTTGAGACCAGCCTGACCAACATGGTGAAACCCCGTCTCTACAAAAATACAAAAATTAGTTGGGCGTCGTGGCGGGTGCCTGTAATCTCAGCTACTTGGGAGGCTGAGGCAGGAGAATCACTTGAACCCAGGAGGCAGAGTTTGCAGTGAGCCAAGATTGTGCCATTATACTCCAGCCTAAGCAACAGAACAAGACTCTTTCTCCAAAAATTAAAAAAAAATAAAAAAAATAAACAGAATCCAAGAACTAGGAAGGAGGTATGAGTTAAGAAAAGTAGAAATAGGAGGGAAAAAAATGACAGGAATCCAGAGGCACACAGATCTCCAAGCAATTATTTGAATTCAAATATAACGCAGTTGGAGAATGACTCCTGCTGTCTGCCAAGGCCTGTCCTCAAATAGATGTAGGCTAAAGCAACATCACCTTTAGACCTGGGCAAGATAAGCCCCTGCCCTGGGCCCTTGATTTAGAGGCCACTGCTCTGGGCGCCCCCAGCACATGCCTCCGTCCCCATCAAGCTGAGTGACAGGCCCACCCAGAAGCCGTGCCCCTTCTGAACAATGCCAGGATACTGTGACCCCAGAATGACCTACCAAAATAGGCACAGCCCACTTCCAGGGCCTACGTGGGCCCCTTCCCTGCCTGAGCAAGCCACATCACGCGGTGCTACAGCTGAAAGCCAGAATGACAGGGTAGGTAGGGGGACCACAGCTGTGAACTGGGAAGAGCTCCTCCCACCACCCACTACCACATCCTGATGCAGAACACCAAGGACTCCAAGAATTCTCAATTCAAACCTGGCCTTCCAGGTTTTTATGAAGGTATATTATTCAAAGCAGAAGCATAGAACATTCTATTTAAATGTCTCTTTTGATTTAAAGTATTAACTATGGTTATTAAATGCAGGCTGCTCTTAGTTCCTAGCTTCAAGTATTCCATCCCACCTCAGCCTCCTGAGGAGCTGGGATTATAGGTGTGAGCCACCAGGTGCTCATTCCTACCTTTTTTTTTTTTTCTTTTTTGAGACAGAGTCTTGCTCTGTTGCCCAGGCTGGAGTACAGTGGTGGGATCTCGGCTCACTGCAACCTCTGCCTCCCGGGTTCAAGCAATTCTCATACCTCAGCCTCCCAAGTAGGGGGGACAACAGGTACCTGCTACCATGCCTGGCTAATTTTTGTATTTCTTTAGTAGAGTCGAGGTTCCACCAGTTGGCCAGGCTGGTCTCGAGCTTCCAACCTCAAATGATCCCCCCACCTTGGCCTCCCCAAGTGCTGAGATTATAGGTGTGAGCCACCACTCCCAGCCTCATTCTTAATCTTAACCTGGGAATTATCATGCTGGGATTGGGGCTAACGCTCTTAAAATCCTTATCTCGGTCAACCAGTAGAACATAGAAGAACGTCAGGACAGGTCTGAGAAAGAGCAGGCAGCCAGTCTTGGAAATCAGAAAGGGCTAGGCTCCAAAGTTCCCGGAGTTTCCAGCCTCACTCTTCCTAGAGTCACGGCAGCCATCTAGAAAGTTCCAGCCAGTAACAGGAATCCAGAATTTTCTCCATGAGTAAACTACAGTGAACCAGGTGGTGCCTACCCAGCATTTGAGGGTCTAGACATGGGCCAGCCGTGGATTGTTTGTCAATAAGCATGTTAAAGCCCAAACAACTTTAAAGCTCTGAATAAGTGTATCTAAATCTTCTGAAAAGCCAGCACGGAGGGCAGGGGGTTAGATACAGATGTGGAGAGAAAAGTGGCTGGGAAAATTAAATGAGTCTCTTTGATGTGAATGCTAACCCAAAAGATCCCGAATCAATCACCCCAGAGGAAAGAGCTGCCGAGACCTTGAAAACAACATTCCTCCGAACTCCTGGTGCTGCCATGGCAACTGGAGGGCTGAATGAGGTCATCTCAAAGCAGGGCAAGTGGCTCAGGTGGACCACGGGAGCAGAGACTGGGCGTGAGGACTCAAACCACCAGGAGGGAAATGAAAACCACGGCAGCGAAAAGGATGGAATTGCCGGTAACAGAATAAAATTCTTCACAGCTGTGAAGCTACAGTCACAACATTTTAGCAGAGCTTTTGGCTGGAAAAGTCGGAAAAAGGCACTGAATTGATTTTACTGTTGCATGTGTCTTTCATCAGTGGATACGAAAACACTTTACTCACACCAAGCACCTTGTCCAGGGAGCAGTTGCCTTCATTTCTAGGAGTGTCACAGCGGAGTCAGTGATTCATGCTAATGGGGAACATGGAATATATGAATAAAGACATTTCATGGGAAATGGTCCTGGTGCTAAACATTTGTAAACTCATTTGAGTCCCCGAAATCAAACCCTCTGTTTTACCAAATTTGTTTCTGACCTCATAAATAAAAATATAAGGTCAAAGAAAAATTACCTCTCAAAGCCACATTGATTGTGCAAAACCAAAAAATTAAATTAAAACTGAAGAATCTTAGTAAGGGAACGGTTGGAAACCTGGCTTAGCTAAGGTAGAGGGGCGAAGGCAGGAACAGCTACAGACAAGCACGCCATGTCCACTCTGCAGCTGAAATCACATGGTTTCTTGGAAGGCTCACAAGACTGAAGTTGCCTTCCCTGACAACTCGGTCAGTCTGCTCAAGGGCAAACGACTCTCCCGGACAGCATTCAGCCTGAAAATGAGGAAAGCAGCCCCTAATACCAAGAGCTGGCCTGGCACACACAGCTAGGCTGTGGCGTTCTCCCAACAAACACAATAATTTCATAGAACACTGACAATCAGGAAAGACCACTCTGTGACAGAGGTGGATCAGCACAAAACCAAGACTACTCTGTCACCAAGTTGGAGCACAGACAAAAGCAAGAATGTCATCCAGACCACAAATGACCAAGTAGCTTCTTATCCTGGCTAATGAGTGACTGCTCTGACTGGCTACAGCTTCAGTCACAATCTGTTATTCCCATCTTCCAGATAAGAATTATTATCATTATTATTATTATTATTTAAGATGGAGTTTCACTCTTGTTGCCCAGGCTGGAGTGCAATGGCACCATCTTGGCTCACCTCAACCTCCACCTCCCAGGTTCAAGCTATTCTACTGCCTCAGCCTCCCGAGTAGCTGGGATTACAGGCATGTGCCACCACGCCTGGCTAATTTTGTACTTTTAGTAGAGACGAGGTTTCTCCATGTTGGTCAGGCTAGTCTCGAACTCTTGACCTCAGGTGAACTGCCTGCCTTGGCCTCCCAAAGTGCTGGGATTACAGGCATGAGCCACCGCGCCCAGCAGATAAGAATGATTAAGATACCCACTTATAGGCCAGGCTCCTTGGCTCACTCCTATAATATCAGCACTTTGGGAGGCCGAGGTGGGCAGTTCACCTGAGGTCAGGAGTTTGAGACCAGCCTGGCCAACATGGTGAAACCCCATCTCTATTAAAACTACAAAAATTAGCCAGGCGTGGTGGTGGGCAACTGTAATCCCAGCTACTAGGGAGACTGAGGCAGGAGAATCGTTTGAACCTGGGAGACAGAGGTTGCAGTGAGCCGAGATTGCACCATTGCATTCCAGCCTAGACCACAAAGTGAGACTGTCTCAAAAAAAAAAAAAAAAAAAAAAAAGCGAGGCGTGGTGGCTCACGCCTGTAATCCCAACACTTTGGGAGGCTGAGGCAGGTGGATCAAGAGGTCAGGAGTTCAAGGCTAGCCTGACCAAGATGGTGAAACCCCATCTCTACTAAAAATAAAAATATTAGCTGGGCATGCTGGTGGGTGCCTGTAATCTCAGCTACTTGGGAGGCTGAGGCAGAGAATTGCTTGAACCAAGGAAGCAGAGGTTGCAGTGAGTCAAGATCACACCACTGCACTCCAGCCTGGGTGACAGAGCGAGACTCCATCTCAAAAAAAAAACAAAAAACCAATTACAGAATTACTTCTACTTTCTGACAGCATCTAATCCAAAGCAAAGCCTTGCTTCCTTAAGCCCTCCCCAGATCATCCAACACAAACCCAAATCCTTTAATCAGTCTTTTCTGGCCCTTCTATTGTGATGCCTCATAGTTCTCCACAGTGTGCCTTCTCCCTTGTTGCAGGGAGAACAAAAACTCAATTTTGTTTAACTCCAGGTGTGTTCCTGGAGGGCATCGATAAGCTAATTATTTTACATAAGGGGCGGGAGGCATGTCACTATTCCATAGACTCCAAATGTGCTTTTATAAATCCTGCCTTGCTTTGGTTCATAGACTAATGTTGATTTATCGTCAAATGACTTGAACATTTATTATAATGGTATATCTTCCTTTACCTTTTATAATGCTCTTTGCCTTAAGGTCAATTTTGTTGGATATTAATATAGCTATACAGATTTTAGAGAAATTAGTATTTGCATGATACAGTATATATTTTTCCACCTTTTTTATTTTTGAGGCAGGGTCTCCCTCTGTTGCCCAAGCTGGAATACAATGGCACAATCTCGGTTCACTACAACCTCCACCTCCCAGGCTCAAGTGATCCTCCTGCCTCAGTCTCCCAGTCTCTGGGACTATAGGCGTGAGCCACTATACTAGACTATTTTTGTATTTTTGGTAGAGGTGGGGTTTTGCCATGTTGCCCAGGCTGGTCTCGATCCCCTGAGCTCAAGTGATCTGCCCGTCGCAGCCTCCCAAAGTGCTGGGATTACAGGCATGAGCTACTGAACCCAGCAATGTGTCTCTTATTACTGAATAAAAATATAAATTTTTTAAAAGTTGTCCTTGACTTATAGTCTATTCACATTTAGTATAAATAGGTAATATATTTTTATCTTCTTTTAATTAATTTATTTATTTTTTAATTGAGACAGGGCCTCGCTCTGTCACCAAGGCTGAAGTGCGGTGGTATGATCTCGGCTCACTGCAACCTCCATCTCCTGGGTTCAAGTGATCCTCCTGCCTCAGCCTCTCAAGTAGCTGGGATTACAAGTGGGCTGCACCACACTCAGCTAATTTATTGTATTTTTTGTAGAGATGGGTTTTCACCATGTTGCCCAGGCTGGTCTCAAACTCTTGGGCTCAAACGATCCTCTTGCCTCAACCTCCCAAAGTGCTAGGATTACAGGCATGAACCACTGCACCCAACCTATTTTGATTTTATTGTATCATAAATTTACGAATTTTGTTTTTCTGTTTTGTGATTTTTTCTTTTTATATATTTTTTACATCTCTTTATATTGTCTATTTACCATTTCTCACTCAAATAGTTTAGAAGTTTGTAGTCAATTTCCATTCTTTTTGTGGTGATACTAGAAATTAAAACACATTGAGTATAGTTGTGAATAGATTATTTAAATTTTTTATTAAAAAATAAATTACAATATATTTTATTAACAGTATAAATTTCTTTAATTTATTTACTCTCATCCCGGATAAGAAATTTAGAATTTTAACTCCATTTATCAACTCCAGTGTTTCTTTATTATATGCCTTTTAGTTTTTTTTTGTTTTGTTTTGTTTTTTTTTTTTGAGACGGAGTTTCACTCTTGTTGCCCAGGCTAAAGTGCAATGGTGCCATCTCAGCTCACCTCAATCTCTGCCTCCCAGGTTCAAGTGATTCTCCTGCCTCAGCCTCCCAAGTAGCTGGGATTACAGGCGTGCGCCACCACACCTGGCTAATTTTGTATTTTCAGTAGAGACGGGTTTTACCATGTTGGTCAGGCTGGTCTCAAACTCCCAACCTCAGATGATCCGCCCACCTCCCAAAATGCTGGGATTACAGGCGTGATTTTCTTTTTCTTTTTCTTTTTCGTTTTTTTTTTTTTAAGCTCCATATGATTGATTTTGAGGAGGTCAGAGTCTGTATAGATTTCCCTATGTATATACCAATTCTTTTAGAATTTCCTTCACGTGAGGGTCTACAGGTGATGAACTCTCTTAAGTTTTATTTGTTCTGAAAATGTCTGTATTTGGCTCTCATTCTTTTTATGTTTGTTTGCTTTTGCTTTTGTTTTTTGAGATGGAGTCTTGCTCTGTTGCTGGGGCTGGAGTGCAGTGGCGCGATCTCAGCTCACTGCAACCTCTGTCTCCCAGGTTCAAGCAATTCTCCTGCCTCAGCCTCCTGAGTAGCTAGGATTATAGGCGTGCCCCACCATGCCTGGCATTTTTTTTTTTTTTTGTATGTTTAGTAGAGACAGGGTTTCACCATGTTGGCCAGGCTGGTCTTGAACTCCTGACCTCAAGTAATCCACCCACCTCGGCCTCCCAGAGTGCTGGGATTACAGGCGTGAGGAGCCACTGTGCCCGACTGGCTCTCATTCTTGAAAAATCTTCCATTTAGCATAGGTTGGCAGTTATTTTTTTCCTAACATATGAATGATTTTATACCATTATATCTTAAGGCAATAAGGAACTCTGCTCTCACCCTAATTACAGCTACTCTAAAGAAGTTTGTTTCTTTTTCTCTGATTTAAAACATTCCCGATTAACTTCTGTTTTACAGTTTTACTATGATGTACACAGGTGTGCCTTTAAAAAATGTTATTCAACTGGGGATTTATTTATGGATTAAAGTCTTTCATCTGTTATAGAGAATTTGCTGTCATTATTTCTTCATATGTTGACTCTGTCAATTCTCTCTTTGCTTCAATTGGAACTTTGATTAAATGTATGTTAGACTATCCTATTCTGTCACTGACATCTTTTAACCTAGCTACCATATTTTCCATGTTTTTATCTGTGTGGTATTATAGACAACTCCTTCTGACCTATCTTCTAAATCTGTAACTTTCTCTTCAACTATGTTCAATTGGTTTCCAAACTCATCCATTACATTGAAGTTTTAATTTCAGTTATTAAACTTTTCCTTCACAGAAATTCCTTTTTAGCCAGGTGTGGCAGCTCATGCCTGTAATCCCAGCGTTTTGGGAGGCCAAGGTTGGAGGACTGCTTGAGACCAGGCATTCAAAACCAGCCTGGCCAACAGAAAGGGACTCTGTCTCTACAAAAATAAAATAAGTTATTTTTTGTTTCCTTTTCAAATCTGCTATGATCCAATTTATAATATCTTTACTCATATTTTTGATTGTCTTATGTTTTAAAATACAATTATTCTTTATAATAATCTATGTCTGATAATTCCAATTTTCAAAGTCATTGGAGGTCAGTTATGTCATCTTTTATTTTGCCGGTTCTCATTCAAAATGTGATTAGCATCTTTGACTGTATGCTTTTCATCTCCCTTGAACAATTTTTAGGGTTCCCAAAAGCATAGGTTCTTTCCTCTACTGAGATTTTGCATTTGCATTTACTAAATTCCTGGGACACTGCTGGTATCAAACCACTTTAAATTCAATTCCTAGCAAGGGTGGGCACTAGGTTTATAAAATCAAAGATGCCCTTTTTTTCTTCATGCCTCCTCCATCTCTCAGCAACAAGACAACTCTTCCTGCAATTCTAGAAAGATGGGAAATGGGGAATGGTTGACTTCTGGTTCCCTTCTGGTTCTGATTATGAGGGAAACATCTGTCATCTTTTCTCTATGTAGAGTGCCTTGGGCCTTCACCTCTGCTAGCCTCTCCCCATGTCTCAGCTCAGCAGCTGATTCATCCAGATCAGCAAATGCTCACAGGGCAAAAGTAAGCTGTGAAGTTTCTGCTCACCTTTCTGTGTTCTTGCCTTCTCCTAGACACTGGCCTTGTCATTCCTCACGATATTTTAGTCCCTCTATACTTTAAGAAGTTTTTCATATTTCTTCCAGCATTTTTACCCATTATCAGGATGGTTACTAATATGAATAAAAATCCCCCTACTCCCACCTAAAATGAAAGTCCCTCAAATTATCTTTCTTCGTCTCTCCCACTTCTTTTGTGTCCTGGCACATCTCAATACCAGCAGCTGCCAAAGTCACTGAGCTTCAGTGGCTTCAGTTTCCTCAACTATAAAATAGGATGAATGATTTTCATGACCTCATAGAATCATTACGGAACTCAAAATAACTCAGATAAAAGTTCTCAACAAACTATAAACCACCAATTTTATATACATATATTCACACATCTATAATAAATTATATAAATGATAAATACTATATTTATATATATGTGTATATGAACAACTATTTTAACAGCAGTAATGATAAACATAGTAGGAGACACGTAAACAGAGAGCTTTGTTTTGTTTTGTTTTTGAAACAGGATCTTGCTCTATTGCCCAGGCTGGAAGGCAGTGGCGTGATCTCGGCTCACTACAACCTCGAACTCCTGGACTCAAGCAATCCTCCCAACTCAGCCTCCAGAGTAGCTGGAACTACAGGGATGTACCATCACGCATGGCTATTTTTACTTTTGTAGAAATAGGGTGTTGCTATGTTTCCCAGGCTAGCCTCAAACTCCTGGCTTTAAGCAATCCTTCCACCTCAGCTTCGCAAGTGCTGGGATTACAGGTATGAGCCACCACACCTGGCCCAATAATTTTTATGGTTACTTCCAATTCTAAAATTACAAGATTCCATGCCTGCACATGAGTAGCTCCCATCTCTCATGTTCTCATGTCCATTCAGAATATTTTATGTTCTGAATATTTCATGTTCTCATGTCCATTCAGAATATTTTGTCCCTCTTTTTTTTCTTTTTTTTTTTTTTTCTGTGTGAATCTACAGATATTTCAAGACCCAGTGCAAGGACATCTTCTATCTTCTGGTTCTCAACTCTGATTGTACTCTGGGTCACCTAGGGAGCTTAAGAAAATGCAGATTCAGTGTCTCAAACTAAATAAATTAAATTAGAATCTAGCAAAGGCAGGGCACATTTTTGTTTTGTATTTCTGATGGAGTCTCACTCTATCGCCCAGGCTGAAGTGCAATGGCGCGATCTCCACTTGCTGCAACCTCCACCTTCCAGGTTCAAGCGATTCTCCTGCCGCAGCCTCCCAAGTAGTTGGGATTACAGGCACGCACCATCATGTCTGGCTAATTTTTATATTTTTAATAGAGATGGGGTTTCACCATGTTGGCCAGGCTGGTCTTGAACTCCTTACTTCAGGTGATCCGCCTGCCTCAGCCTCCCAAACTGCTGGGATTACAGGTGTGAGCCACCACGCCCAGCCACATCTGTGTTTTTTTAAGTCCTCAGTGATGGGCAGCCAGAATTAAGAATCACTAGTCAGGTCGGGCGCGGTGGCTCACGCCTGTAATCCCAGCACTTTGGGAGGCCGAGGCGGGCAGATCACCTGAAGTCAGGAGTTCGAGACCAACCTGGCCAACATGGTGAAACCC